>NC_000012.12:32581675-32734370 GCF_000001405.40 Homo sapiens
AATAAATAAATAAGTTATAAATAAAATAAACAGCCCAAGGAAATGTTCCAGTCCCCATAGGTAGACTCGGGGTCATCTTCTTTATTTAAATCTTTATTTAAATGTGGATAGCATCCCAAGAGACTTGGGTCTACACTAAGAATATTCAAATCCATGTTTCTGAAACCATCAGAGATAGAAAAAAAAAGTAGCGAATATCCCTTTTCAACTGGAATAAACTTGTCTTAATTCTAGAACTTTTCCATACCAATGTTTTCATGCTTCCTTTGTATTTTATCTTTTAGCTCATTATCAAATTATAGTGATTTGAAGAAAGAGTCTGCTGTGAACCTAAATGCTCCTAGAACCCCAGGAAGGCATGGATTGACAACCACACCTCAACAAAAACTCCTCTCCCAGCACTTGCCACAGAGGCAGGGAAATGATACAGATAAGACTCAGGGTGCACAGACTTGTGTGGCCAACGGTGTAATGGCAGCACAAAACCAGATGGAATGTGAGGAGGAGAAAGCTGCCACTCTTAGCTCAGATACTTCTATTCAAGCTTCTGAACCCTTGCTTGATACGCACATAGTGAATGGAGAAAGAGATGAAACTGCCACAGCTCCTGCATCACCCACAACAGACAGCTGTGATGGAAATGCTTCTGACAGTAGCTACAGGACTCCAGGCATAGGCCCAGTGCTCCCCCTAGAAGAAAGAGGGGCAGAAACAGAAACCAAGGTACAAGAGAGGGAAAATGGGGAAAGCCCTCTGGAACTGGAGCAGCTGGACCAGCACCATGAGATGAAGGTAGAGCATGAGACTAGCTCATGAGCAGGGAAAACCCTGCCTATTCGATTGTTGTCTTAAAACTCTTTATTTATTGCACCCCTGAAATGTATGAATCAGATCACCCACACTGGCAGTTAAACGATTTTCAAGCTCTGGCTGCTGATTAGCATTTCCCCTATGCTCTAAGCAGATATTTCACTTTTTCTTTTCATGTAGTTTCTGTTAATATCTCTGTTGTAATTTCAGGAGTCAGAACAGTGTGGAAACTTTAATATAGGAAATCCACAAATGTATTGTTTTTACATAGAAAGAAAATGTTCCTTGTTGCTCTAGATGTTGGTGCTGTATCCCTAATACTTACGGGCCAAGCAAGAAGAAATTGTATAATCTTTGTTGTTCAGAAGTTTCTAATAGAATAAATAGGCCTGTAAGATGAACTTGCCACTAGTAAATGTTACTTTTAAGGACATGAATATGGAAGTATTAAATTATTCAACAGATTATAACTCTAGGCTTTTAATTTTTTTAAGTTTTCTAATTAATACCCAATTTTATAATAAATGGTGTAGTCTTTGAGTTAGAAGGCCATTTAAAAATCATTTTAGAGCCAGGCATGGTGGCTGATTGCTGTAATCCCAGTACTTTGCGGGGCCAAGGCAGGAAGAATTCCTCAGCCCAGTAATTCAAGACCAGTCTGGGCAACATGGTGAGAGCCCATATCTACAAAAATTTTAAAACTTAGCAGAGCATGGTAGTTTGCACCTGTGGTCTCAGCTACTCGGGAGGCTGAGGTGGGAGAATTTCTTGAGCCCAGGAGGTCAAGGCTGTAATGAGCCATGATTGTGCCACTGCACGCCAGCCAGGGTGACAGAGCGAAACCCTGTCTCAAAAAACAAGGAAAAAAAAATCTTAGTTTAGCAATTCATTTATAGAAGAAGAAATAGTCCCAGAAAGCTTATGATTTTTTTTCAAGGTCACGCTGTTTTTTGAATAATAGCTCACAACCCTCATGCTGTGACTCCCAGGCTAGTGTTGTGTCCCTGAAGCAACACATCACAAACTTAAATGGCTAAATGCAAGAAATGTCAATAAATGAAGCAGCCATGGGTAATAAGCTGGTGGGATTGTTGAGAACTGGACATTTCTGTCCTTTCTAAAGAAGAAAGTGATTTGATGAACTGCCTGGATGGGGTTTCTGCTCATATGCACAATGTCAGCTAAGAAAGAGCTGATTTGCTGGTGAAACATATACTGACTCTGAAGCAGACAAAGTTTAAAGAAAAAAGTGGGTGGGAGAAAGTGAGTCATACTTGGTAACATTATCTGAAACAGTAAAGAAACAGGACATTGCAAAGTGAATCCCTATGCCTCAATACAATGATAGATTTTTAGTTTATTTGTTCGTGAACCATGATGGAAGGAAGAGAAGGTTATAGAACCAAGAAAATCTTTTGCCACTGTTGGGATGATGCCTCCAACAAGTATATATAAAATAGTAAGAGCTGTTCTTACAAAGAAAAATATTCTAATTGGTGATGATGCCTATGGTTGTTGGATGGTACTTTTTCTTCCCTTCACATATTATTATGGATGCATTTTCTTAGATGAATCTTACCTCTTTGGGAGAGATTTTATAGAATTTTCCTATTAAACTAGTGAAACATAGAATAGTACTACTGGCCTTTCTCCTGAATGGGCCTTTACACAGTGGATGGCACATGCTGTATGTGGGAAGAAAAAGCAAATTTTCTCTGCAGAGCGGTTGATGCGAACACCACATCTCTCCTGTTAAAATGGAATGTTAGGATTTCATAAGTGTGCTGCGGCAGTGTGTTCACCTTTGCTGCACTGATGTTTGTTATGTTGCCTTTCCTTGTTCCTAAATGCAAACATACATCTCAGTAGTGTTAAGATGGTAAATCTTATTAGGTATATTTTACCACAATTAAGAAAAAGAAATTAATAAAAATGTCAATGGTAATATAGTGGACCACACAATTAGAACAAAGAAATCTCAATTCTACTTCTGGCTTGTCTATTAACTAGCAGTATGAGCTTGAACAAGTCAATAATTCTTTGTGTGTTTAGTGAAAGCATCTAAACTGTATATAATCTTAAGGCCCTATCTTCATGTTGTAACCCCCCCCTCCCAAAAAAAAAGAAAAATCTTAAGGCCCATTTCAGTGATTATATATTAATTCTGTTATGCTGTGATATAGGTATATTCCCTTGTTAGCATAGCACACCAGATTATCAGCTGCTGCTTAAGCTGTCCAATGTGTTGAACTTCTAAGATATAATGGAATATTTTTAATTTCAATATGCAGACAACTGAAAAACTTTAATCTTCCTGGAAGTGGAAATAGATACTTACTTCAGAATAGTCTTAAATGTGTTTCATTTAAGCTGTGTTAGATTTGATGGGCATTTCCCAAATGCCCATAGGAGTGGGAAAATGAAGGGATAGGGAATGAAAGAAAGGAGAGCAGCCGGGTGCGGTGGCTCACACCTGTGTAATCCCAGCACTTTGGAAGGCCGAGGTGGGTGGATTGCTTGAGTCCAGGAGTTGGAGACCAACCTGAGCAACGTGGCAAAACCCCATCTCTACTAAAAATACAAAAAATTAGCTGGTGTGGTGTCATGCACCACCAGCTACTCAGGAGGCTGAGGTGGGAAGATCGCTTGAGCCTGGGAGGCAGAGGTTGCAGTGAGCTGAGATCCCACCACAGCGCTCCAGGCTAGGTGACAGAGTGAGACCCTGTCTCAAAAATTTTATATATATATATATATATATATATATATATATATGTATATCTTAAAGGCAACTTTTCTTTATTCACTTAGAACTGAACGGTGAACTCAGAAAATTCTTTTTTGTGGCTACTCAGTTTACTAGGTTCATAATATAAGAAAGAAAAATGTGAAAAAAATTGAACTGTTCAATTAAAAAATTCAGTGTGCCAGTCTCACTCTCCTGGGCACCAGCAACATAGAAATGGACTAGACAAGCCCTATCAACAAAGCCTCAGTCTGCTGAGGGGTGAGAGACATACACAAATTGACATAATATGATACAGTAAGTGCTTTGGAAATACAGATGACTGGGCCAGGTGCAGTGGCTCACACTTGCTATCCCAGCACTTTGGGAGGCTACGGCAGAGGATCTCTCGAGTCCAGGAGTTTGAGACCAACCTGGGCAACGGGCAAAACCCCATCTCTACAAAAAATTTAAAAGTTCGCTGGGTGCGGTGGCACTTGCCTGTAGTCCCAGCTACTCGGGAGGCTTAGGTGGGAGGATTGCTTGAACCCAGAAGGTCGAGGCAGCAGTGAGCTATGATCCTGCTACTTCACTCTCACCTGGGCCACAGAGCTGAGACCTTGTCTCAAAAAAAAAAAAAAAAAAAAAAAAAAGGGAAATGCAGATGAAGGAGCAGTTGTGCCCCAGGAGTACTAGTTGAGGGCCAGGCTGCTGAGAAGCAGTTGAAGTAGCCTTGAAGCAAGGATGGGAGATTGCTGGGTGAGATCAAAGATACGCTGGGATGGGGGTGAGTGAAAGTGTGAGCAATGAGTAGAGGCAAGATTGTAGATGCTGCATTTGGAGGAATATTTCTGACTGCATAATCAGAGGTCAGAATGGCTAGAGAAATTAATACAGAGGTACAAGGCTAGATTTAGAAGAGTAAGCTAAGAACAGACTGCAATGGGCTTTTGAATGCCTGTTAAGAATATACATATTTTTTTCCTGAAAACATTAGAGACTTTTAAAAGTTTGGAAGTTTAAAAAGTTTAAAAATCTTAAAAGGTTTTTAAAACCTTTTAAGTTGCTAAAAGTTTACAATTTTCATTGAAAAAGAAGAAAATTGGCAAAGCACAGAAAATACACACAAAAACCACACCCATAATTCTACCAGTGAGAATTGCTTAGATATTTGATATTCTAGCTTGTTTTTCTGAGCTGTTTGAAAAAACATACTTGATCGCAT
The DNA here is from genome assembly GCF_000001405.40 of Homo sapiens. Lineage (NCBI taxonomy): Eukaryota > Metazoa > Chordata > Mammalia > Primates > Hominidae > Homo > Homo sapiens. The sequence continues at coordinate 32,586,433 of NC_000012.12, forward strand.
AATGTATGGTCACTCTGTATCCTGTTTTGTTGGGTTATACATAGGTATTTCCCCCATATGAATTCAAACTTTCCATAAGCCTAATATTATCTGGCCTCAGAAACAATTAAAGCATGGAAGTGACATGATGACACATGTGTGGGTTTTTGAAAAATGAGTCAGATGAAAGGGAAAACAGATGGAGCAGGGCACGTGGTTAGGAAGCAACTGTACTAGTCCAGGTGTGAGATGAAGGGGGCCTGGATGAAGCAGAGGGTGAGAGACAAGGAAGATTCTGAGGACCTTGTGGCTAGATGTGGGGGTTAAGTCAGGTTCAACTCCTAGGCTGGATGAATTGGCAGATGGCACATGAACTACAAGAGAATGGAAGGCAGAACCTATTTTGTGGGCAAAAAATAAATTACATTTTGCAATACTGAATTGAGGGGCTTCTTGGAAGTCCAGGTGTAGATGTCTTACAAAAATAGAATATTCTGGGCTGGGTGCAGTGGCTCACCCCTGTAATCCCAGCACTTTGGGAGGCCAAGGTAGGGGGATCACCTGAGGTCAGGAGTTCGAGACCAGCCTGGCCAGTATGGTGAAACCCCATCTCTACTAAAAATACAAAAATTAGCTGGGCGCAGTAGCAAGCACCTGTAGTCCCAGCTACTAGCAGGCTGAGGCAGGCGAATTGCTTGAATTCTGGATGTGGAGGTTGCAGTGAGCCTAGGTCGCACCATTGCACTCCAGCCTGGATGACAGGGTGAGACTCTCTCAAAAAAAAAAAAAAAAAAAAAAAAATTCTGGAAGCATTACGATTTATTGGTTTAGGCATGAAGGCTTTGGAATGAAAATACCTGAGTTCAAATCCCAGCCCCGTCACTTACTAGCTAGGTGACCACTGACACATCACTTTTTTTGTAATTAAAAAATTTTAATGGCTATTGCTTATTTTTTATTCTGTATTTATTTATTTATTTATTTATTTTGAGACAGGGTCTCGGTCTGTTGCCCAGGCTGCCAGGCTGGAGTGCGGTGACGCTATCTCGGCTCACTACAACCTCCACGTCCTAGGTTCAAGCAATTCTCCTGCCTCAGCCTCCTGAGTACCTGGGACTACAGGCATGCACCATCACGCCTGGCTAATTTTTGTATTTTTTGTAGAGATAGGTTTTCACCATGTTGCCCAGGCTGGTCTTGAACTCCTGAGCTCAAGTGATCCACCCGCCTCAGCCTCCCAAAGTGCTGACAGGTGTGAGCCACTGTGCCTGGCCAGACACATCACTTTAACAAACTCTCCAGGCCATGGCTTCCTGACATGTTGAAATCATTGAGATGACAGGAAGGAAAGTAATGGTGTGGGTTTGAGAGAAGGAAGTAGAGTTGCTAATTAGGTTAGTTTTGTACTCTTATACTAAGTTTATGGTTCCTGCAAAACATCCATTTGGAGATATTAATTAAGCAAGTGGAACTGTGGATCCAGAGCCCAGGAAAGAGGGTAAGAATGTTAAGAGGATGGTGCATGAGGGTGTGATTAACATTGCCAAAGCAGAATGTGTAGGAACAGGAAATGGGCCAAGAGTTGAGCCATGAAGCACAAACAATAGAAAAGGATGTTTAATAAATTGTCCAAGAGGAGAAAGAAGAGAGAACAGTGTTTTGGAACCACAGGGATGGAGGGGAATGGGGTAGGGGTGCAGGCATATTGGAAAGCTTTAAGGAAAAAAGCATGGTCAGCATTTAGAATATGGAACTAGGAGTTAACTTGGAGACCTAGCCTTTAGTAGGCCTTGATAGCTAACTAGCTGTATACTAGTATATAACTTGGTGAACTTGAGTAATTGAACAAAGTTGAGCAAATGTATATTGCACATAGGCTATGGGCAAGGCACCGCAGTAAATACAAAGAAGAAACTTACAGTTGAGATGGAGAGTTAAGACAACAAATGACCATTACTCAAGATATCCTGAAGTAAAGGGAAAAGGCCTCACTGATAAAGCTAAGGTTTACATCATGGCTATTAGTGTGAATTCACTGTTGTTAGCAGAAACGGAGAAGTCATGGAGAATCTAGGACGGACTGAGGGACCACAGCACGGAGGTAGCTTGCAGGCTTGGTGATTGAAGTGTCGATTTGGGCAGTCCTCTGCCAAGACCAGCAAGAAGTCCTCCAGGTGCAAGACTTGGAGCTTGGAGAAGGTGCTGTTGTGGCAACAGTGACCATGATTCTGAGAGCATCGGGCAAAGACTATAGAGCCAATCAGAAGTCTTCCCAGCATTGCTGAGTGGCCTGGAATTCAAGAAAGAGAAAAAGCAAACTTGGAGTGGGAATTAGCCAGGATCAGCAAGTCAGCAGTGCCAAGAGAACAAAGGATGGGGTTTAACAGAACGTTGAGTTGAACCAGGAGAATTGGGAAAGATCAGGTGCTTAGAGGTCACAGCGTGTAGAAAGACCCAGTTTAGTTGAGTGTGAGAGAAATGGAAAGCTAAAATCTTGCTTTATATGGGGTTAAAAACAAATTAAAAAGCCAGATACCTAACCTAGTGGTCAGGAACACAGACTCAAGAGCCAGGTCCTCTAGATTTGAATCCCACTCAGCTACTTACTAGCTCTGTGACCTTGAGCAGATTACTTCAACCTCCCTGTGCCTCAGTTTCCTCATCTGTAAAATGGAGATAACATATCTACCTTGTAACATTATGAGGTATAGATCATGTACTAGTTGTAAAGTACTTTAGAACAGTGCCTTGGCATATAAAAGCTATGTGTTTATTAATTAAACATCCTGTTTCCTCACTTGTGAATCAAGATCAATAGACTCAAAGCCTAATATGTCATTTAATAGATCCAAATTTCAACACATTCTGCCAGGTTAATACCAGCACCTCTCTTTCGGTTCTCCCACTGTAGGATACACAGAGAAGTTTGCATACCACCTCTTTTTTAACTTAGGGTTCCTGTATTTTGTTTCTCCTGCCTGAGGACTGTTGGTTATTACCACATGATGTACTCTCATTAGTGTATACAAGGTTCTGACTTAACAGAATTAACATAAAGCGTTTATAAATGACTGAGATACTTTGATGACTAAGTCTTTAGACAGGTTAATTCAGTTATTTAATGTGTATACATATTCAGTTTTTCTTGGTGCCTGTTCTTTAATTTCTATAAAACTCAAAGGACTCTTTAGTGTAACTTACACTACATAGATTATAAGAAGACCAAAGTTGTTCTCTCTTCACCACCACTTACTTCCTGTCTGATCTTGTGCAAGTAACCAAACTTTTTTTCTTTGTGCAACCTCTGTTTCCCCCTCCTCCCCATGTCACGAAAGAACGTAATTGAAACCTTCAGATTAAAAGCTCTCACTTTTAACTCTCCTTGAACCCAGGAGGCAGAGGTTGCAGTGAGCTGAGATTGTGCCATTAACTCTCACTCATTGTTCTCCCCTCTTATTTCAAGTTTTGAATTGGATAGTGTGGAAGACCTAAGTTTGGGAAAATATTGGTGGTAAGTCACAAGTAGGCCTGGACTACTTCTTGAAGCTTCTTGAAGGATCATGCCGAGCTGACAGCCTGTTGATGCTTATGACACTATATTATAAAGCAAGGAATGCCGGGCGCGGTGGCTTATGCCTGAAATCCCAGCACTTTGGGAGGCCGAGACAGGTGGATCACCTGAGGTCAGGAGTTCTAGACCAGCCTGGCCAACATGGTGAAACCTCGTCTCTACTAAAAATACAAAAATTAGCTGGGTATGGTGGCAGGCGCCTATAATCCCAGCTACTCAGTGGGTGCTGAGGCAGGAGAATCACTTGAACCCGAGAGGCAGAGTTTGCAGTGAGCCGAGATCGCGCCATCGCACTCCAGCCTGGGGGACAAGAGTGAGACTTCATCTAAAAAAAAAAAAAAAAAAAAAGCAAGGAATGATATATGCATATCATAAGTGGGTGTTCTCTCTCTCTCTCTCTTTTTAATAATGTGAGCCTAGTGATAAATTCCCTACTGTTAACAAATAGTTCTTGAGACCTCATGACCCTTTTGATGGCATTTATGACATGATCTTATTTGACCATGAAACCTGTGTTTTATTCCTCTACCTCCTGGTTTTCTTGTTCCCCAAATCCAGAGGGATTTCTCCTCATGCAAAAGGCTGTAGCAGAGCACAAGTTGGTTTTCACAGACCCGGGTTTGAATCCTGGCTCATTCGCTTACTAGCTGTATGACTTTGGGCAAGTTACTTAACCTCATGATGGCACAGCTTCCTCATCTATAAAATGAGAGTGATAATACTCCTGCTTCACAGATGGATTAGGATTACAAGAGATAACTCATGTGCAGTACATAGAATAGTGCACGTAGTAAGTATTCATTAAATAGTGGTGGTTGTCACCATCTCTCACTTGTGATAGCTTCCTTGATTTCCCAGCTCCTTAGTTTCATGATAAAGAATCTGCAGAACTTTGGAATATCACAGAACAAAGATGTCTAATACAAGTAATAGGTTAGACCAATTATGTGACATTCAAATGTCCTTGTGATCTAATTTTAATTTAACAGCCTGCAGCCCCAATGAAGGCTTCAGTTTGTGACAAGACATATAAAATGACATATCAAAGTGTTGATGCATCTGATAAATTGTGGTACAAAATCAAATATTCATTCCCTAAGTTGACTCAACTTCTTTACCAGAGAATGGGCTTTAGGGACCACAGAGATGTATGTACCTGTACAAAGGGTACCCACTCTCTTTCCATAGAAGAATATAATTATCTAACTGACAGCAGATTTGAATAGAAACTTCCCATGATTAAGAAATATTCATTCATGTCCTATAAAAACCTGATAATTTACTTAGGTCATTTACGTACATTTTGTTTTGACTATAACCTCTAATAAGTAGATAGGAAAAGCTGCAAAACCTTTTAGTAGCTTTTGGTATATGTTTTTAGGAAAATTCTTCCTACCTAAAATGAAATCACATATGAGAACATGTGCTGAAGAGTCATAAAGAATAATATTGTCTGATTCATTTTAAAATAATTGAAGATTTTGCATTTGAAGCATCTCTCAGGAAATCATAATTGTTTTTAGCATTTACAACATTCTTCCCAGAAGATCTGCTCCCCGACTTGGTAGCTTCGAGGCACATGGCAGGGTGGATGGCACCAAGATTTTGAAGAATGAATCGCTGATGCCACCCAAGTGTTTCTGCCTATCCAGTTAATGAACTCTGTGAGCTGCAGTGGGGGCCCTTTGTTCTGCCTCCAGCCATATGGGAGAGTCATGCCAAAAGGTCTGAACAGAGCTGCAGGATCTGGTGACACCTGAAAATGAGGAGGCAGGACTGACACTGCAGTACATTCATGAAGCAGTGGGCTACAGTGACTAACAACCAGGCCGAACCTAAGCCCAGAGAGAAAGGAGCAGATCTCTCCCAAAGGGTACTGGAGGTGTGAAGGCAGACAGTAACAGCCTAGGAAGTGCATTACACAGAAAGAGGAAAGTTAATTGCATACTCTGTTACTGTAAGAGGAGTGTAACTTTTGGTGCTGATAGCTTAGATATCCTCTTGTGTATTTTTATTTTGAGGCAATACTCTGGGAATCACCTTTCAATTTATGAGTATAGCATTGTGTATGTATTTGTAAGGTAAAAATTAATATATTTATTTATTTATTTATTTTTTGAGACAGAGTCTCACTCTTTCGCCCAGGCTGCGGTGCAATGGTGTGATCTCGGCTCACTGTAGCCTCCGCTTCCTGGGTTCAAGCGATTCTCCTGCTTCAGCCTCCTGAGTAGCTGGGACTACAGGCGTGCGCCACCATTCCCAGCTAATTTTTGTATTTTCAGTAGAGATGGGATTTTAAAAGTATCTTACTTTTGATATCTCTATTTAAAATAAAGGGATATCAAAAGTAAGATTCTTTTAAAATCCCATTTTTGAAAAACTATAAATTATATTTTAATCATAAATTATGTTGAAAAGTCAAGCTTTTTTTCTTAGACTTCAGTAGAAGAAAATGGGATTATATATTAAATTAATAGTGCATGACTATTACTGTTTCCCAAAGGACTGCAAGAATAAATGGCTTCATGGTAAAGCGCTAAGCACAAGTAGTGGTTATGTAACTTTGAAGTGCCCAATGTTAAGAAACAGTATTTACCTATTTAGCTTTCCTGTTTAAAAAAAATATCAGGCTATAGCCCCAATGTACCAGCAATTTTAAGACTACTTTATTATTTATATGTAATTCTAATATAGTAATAAAGCCCCATGCATGCAAATAAATCATCTATTTCTCCTTAAATATCCTTATAGATGAGTTTCCTTAAATAAGTTTTTAAAGTTGGAAGCCACCATATTATTACTTCAAAATGACTGTATTTTGTATACCTAATAATTACTAAAATGCTGAAAAGTATCTCTTTAATAGAATTTATGTTGGAAAAAAATAATATATAAATTAAAGTATGTAGTAGTACCACTTTTCATTTCCAGGTGGATTTTGTAAGCAGATAGTTGGTGATTTGTCAGTCTGTCTATTTACAGGCACATATCACAGTCTTGGGTTTTGTTGAAAGAAAGATGATAGTGAGAGCCAAGGTATATCATGAATAGTAACTTAAAATCATGTACTTGCCTATATGATACAGTTACTTTCTAACTCTGTGACCTTGGGTAAGTAACCTGGCCTCTTTGAGCCTCAGGATTTTGTTTTGTTGTATGTGTGCTGTCTGTAAAATAGAAATAATAATGGTATTTATTGTTGTAAGGATTCATCAGTTTATGTAAAATAATTATAACAGTGTCTGGCATACAATAATCAGTGAATAAGTGTTAGTTTTTGTTATTATGGTGGTATTATTATTGCTGTTTTAATTGACCTAAAGCAAGGCACAATTAGTCCGTGATTTACTCATCTCCATCCCAAAATCCCTAGTAACTTTTCTGCAAACCTATATGTAAGTGAGTGATTAAACCGTATGTTGTCAGCAAACTTACTTTTTGCTTATCCTTGTGTTGGCTTTGTCAGGGTTAGGGACCTAACATGTAGAAGGTGGTCTGTGTGGAGAGAGCATAGCTTTTGCTAATAACTGCTGGCATCCCCCTTGGATTTTGCAAAATCTGACCAGGATATCCACAATTGCCAAGTTCAGCTAAAGCATGCTTTGCAGTCAGCAAAGATTATTCTGATAAGCTTCCTATTTAAGATCCTGTAGGATTGTGGAGGACCTCAGGGGTGACTTCATTGCATAGCAGTAATACACAGTTATATCTGTTAGTTAACATACTCCCTGATTCATGAAAGATGTATTATTTTATCATGGCACAAGTTCTGCCAGGTTGCTGTCTTTAAAGATATTGTCAGAATTAGAATCAGAACATAGGATATGAGTGAGTCAAAACGATACATCAGCACTATCAGAATAAAACCAAGGTCTTGAAAAGAATAGGCTACTGCTACTAATAACAACATGCATGTATTTCAAATGAATTTTGCTGAATGACAGAAACAAGACTAAGAAGGCACATGCATTTACATGACATTATAGAAAGGAAAGATCACTAGGTACCAGGATCTGGTGGTAGGAGCATAGAGGGGGTTGATTACAAAGGGGCACAAAAATAGTTGAGGCATGATGAAATATTCCATATCTTGATTATGGTAGTGGTTATATCAGAGGTCCTCAGCCCGTAGGCCACGGACTGGTACCAGCTGGTCTGTGGCCTGTTAGGGATGTGGCCTTTTGAGTGGTGGGGCAGGCGAGCAAGTAAGTGAAGCTTCATCTGTATTTACAGGCTTGCTCCCCATCACTCACGTTACCATCTGAGCTCCACCTCCTGTCAGATCAGCAGCAGCATTAGATTCTCATAGGAACTTGAACCCTATTGTGAACTGCACATGCGAGGGATCTAAGTTGCATGCTCCTTATGAGAATCTAATGACCGATGATCTGTCGCTGTCTCCCATCACTCCCAGATGGGACTGTCTAGTTGCAGGAAAACAAGATCAGGTCTCCCACTGATTCAACATTATGGTGAGTTGTATAATTACTTCCTTACATATTACAATGTAATAATAATAGAAATAAAGTACACAATAAATGTAATGTGCTTAAATCATCCTGAAACCATCCCTCTCTCCCCACCCCAACCCAGTCAATGGAAAAACTGTCTTCCACAGAACCGGTCCCTGGTGCCAAAAAGGTTGGGGACCTCTGGGTTACATTATCACATGCATTTGTCAAAACTCCTGGAACTGTACACCAAAAAGGGTAAATTTTACTGTTTATAAATTATGCCTCAACCATTCTGGCTTAGAAAAGCAAAATAGGCCTGGCATATTGGCTCATGCCTGTAATCCCAGCACTTTGGGAGGCCAAAGCAGGCGGAACACAAGGTCAGGAGTTCGAGACCAGCCTGGCCAGCATGGTGAAACCCCGTCTCTACTAAAACTACAAAAAATTAGCTGGGCATGGTGGCACGCACGTGTAGTGTCAGCTGCTTGGGGGGCTGAGGCAGGAGAATTGCTTGAACCCGGTAGGCAGAGGTTGCAGTGAGCCAAGATCACGCCACTGCACTTCAGCCTGGGTGACAGAGCGAGACTCCGTCTAAAAAAAAAAAAAAAAACAACACAGCAAAATAAAACAAAGGGCTTACAATGTTGATGCAGGGGAATATTTCCTGTGAATATGAAGGACAGCATATTCCTGTATCTTCCTCTGAAATATTGATAGGTGTCTTATGTAATTACTATGCATTTATGTTTACTTATTACAGGATGGAAAGTCACATTTTTATCCCACAATGTATTTAAGTTTTATCTCTTTTTCCTTATAAGTAGTAATTGCTTAAAAATTACTTAGGTTTTTAAATTTCATGGAGTATCCTGCATATGTATCATATATCAACCAGGATGCTTCTGGCCACAAGTAACACTAAGCCCGGCCTAAACAATAATGAAGTTTATTGGCTTCATTCCTGTGGTAATGGAATCGTTGCTCATAGCACTTAAGCCTCCATATACTCTCATTCTCTGGGAGCCTGAAATGTCTTCCCATTGGGCTCTGCCTTAAGAGTAGGAAGCTTCCTATTGCCAAAGCCTTCAGTATATATTTCCTCATATCTCATTGTCTCCAGAACCAATCACTATGAACTTGGATTCTTACACTATTCAGGGCCCCACCTTTTGATCTGGAAATAAGGTCTGTTTCCCTAGAGGAACTGACTGTATAGTAGTAATATATACACTAACCCAATCTGGATACTATTAAGAAATGAGGGGTGGGAAATATGCCAGGCTGGCAACCAACAATGCCAGTACTTTATCCCGAATTGTATTAAGTTAAATCCAAACTTTGACTAATTGTGGAATTAGATGACTGCATAGTTCTTATTTCCATATTTCTGAGACCACAAATTATTTAAACACTATTATATTGCTATACCTGAGGACTTCACCTAAAAATACCTCATTTCAATGCCACTGTAAGAAACAACACATTAACTTTACATATTGAAAGGATCTTGTGTGTAAAGTGTAAAGCATGAAGTAGATCTCATGTGGTGAACATAGTGAAGTATTCATAGAACTTAATAGCATTTATACGCAGTTTAAAATATAGTATTTATACCTAAGTTAGACACTGGCTTAAAATATACTTTGGTCTACTTTGCTTTTAGAGTTTTGCCTATACTTTATAATCTGCTACAGAGAAAGGGAGGGTATTTCAGCAAAGTACTAGATAGAAAGTTTTCAATACAAAGATTTGCATATGAAAGATAAAATGCCTTCTAATAGGACCAAGCCCAAGGGCTTTGAATAGTTGAAGAAGGCCCCATGGACAAGAATTGGAAATGCAGCAGTCAAAAGAAAAGCATCTTAGACACCTAGAGAGCTACAATAGCAAGAGCATATGCCAGGCAGAGAGGATGGAAAGAAGAAAGGTTTAGAGATAACCAGGGACACGTTTGGATAATAATCAAACATGCATTTGAGTGATGTGTTTGGAGGGAATGGTGCCTGTGATGATAAAAGTTTGAGGAAGTGAGTAGAGGTTTGAATAACCCTGAATGTACATAGTATGGATTTTGTCCTGTCAGTGAGAGGAAGACTACTGAAGGCTTTTCTTTCTATGAAAGTAGAATTATGTATGCAATGGAAAGTTTTTTTTTTTTTAAGTTTAGAATTTTCTTTTCTCTTTAAGAGAAATAGTCCTGGAGAAGTACATGGAAGGGGCTGGGCGCATTGGCTCATGCCTGTAATCCCAGCACTTTGCGGGGCTGAGGCGGGCGGATCACCTGAGGTTGGGAGTTCAAGACCAGCCTGACCAACATGGAGAAACCTCGTCTCTGCTAAAAATACAAAATTAGCCGGCCGTCGTGGTGCATGCCTGTAATCTCAGCTACTCGGGAGACTGAGGCAGGAGAATCACTTGAACCCGGGAGGCAGAGGTTGCGGTGAGCCGAGATCATGCCATTGCACTCCAGCCTGGGCAACAAGAGCAAAACTCTGTCTTAAAAAAAAAAAAAACAAAAAGAGAAGTACATGGAAGGATATAACTTTGTTATATATTTTTCTCAGAGCAGAAATCTTCGCATATACATTAGAAAGATTTCCACAAAACAACTGACAAAATACAAAAATAAAAACATTCAGAGACAATGGCTTAATTATTTGGAAATACTGTTTCTTTTTAGTATTTATAAGGATTAATTCATTCTTGACAATGCTTTATAAATGTGGAACAAAGGAAAGTTTTAGAAAGATCCCTCATACAGCAATACAGAAGGTAAATTCACGCCACAAAATATTGTAATCAGATCATTTGATAGCTATTGATTGGTCTGGGCTTGAGAAGAGATGAGCGAAACAGGGTGGCAGTGTTGAGAGCTTAAAGGATGAATGCTAAAGACATAGTATCATAAGTAGGACTTGGTAGCAGTCAGGATGCCATGGTAGAGAAATAAGTTTAATTCAAGATTCCAAAGCCAGATAATTGTACCATTACCAGGAGGAGAAAATTAGGAGTTAATAGTAGGGTAGAGGTTTCTCAGAAAAGATGAATTTGGTCTTGTGTTGTCAGCATGTCAAAGTAGTAATAAATGTCCAGCAATAGTTAGGTATGTGATTGCTACTCATTCATTCATTTGTTCGGCAATATTGTATTGAATACCAGTGTTTTTATTGAAGCATTGTAGTAGGCACAGGAGATACAGCAGCTAACAAGGAAAAAATGTTTCTGTCATCATGAAACTGGCAGAGTTATATAAGTATATTTAAGGCTTAAATAAATACATACTGAAGAAATAAAGTGGAATTAATACAAAATAAAATGGGCAGACAGAGGTGAGGGGGAGCGTAAATGAAACAAGATTAACAATGAGTTGATACTTGTTGAATCTCATTGATGGGCATGTGGGGGTTCACTTTACTGTTTTCTGTATTATTTGATTGAAGTTTTTCTTTCTGTTTTTTTGAGATAGGGTCTTGCTCTGTCACCCAGGCTAGAGTGCAGTGGCACAGTCATGGCTTACACAGCCTCAACCTCCTCCCATCTCTGCCTCCCAAGTAGCTGGGACTACAGATGTGCGTCACCACGCCTGTGCTCAAGTGATCCTCCCTCCTCTACCTCCCAATATGTTGGAATGACAGGCATGAGCCACTGCGGCTGGCCTAATAAAATATTTTTTAAAAATAAAAAATTAATAAATGTATAGAACTGATAATTAGACAAGATGTCTGAGTGATAACATTTCCAAAGAGTAGCCTGAGAAAGATGGAAAAATGAAGAAAGATAATGCTAGGAACTGAAAAAGATAGATTTCCAGGAAAAAGGTAGATATGATAGTGGTAACTGCTGCAGAGGTCAAAGGAGAAACTATAGTTTAAATCCAGCTGCTTGCTAATTTCTAATTTTGTTCATTTCTGGTTTGACATCTCTTGATGGCTGAAAGAACCGAGTAACTGAAAAGCTTGAGAAAACTGTTTTGATCAAATCATTTGAAGAAGCGTTTTTTACTTTAGAAATATTGTCCAAGGTATCTTTCCTAATGTGTGAATATCTTTCCAATTTTTAGGAGACTAATGAGCAAAAACTTCACAAAATAGCCAATGAACTTTTGCTTACTGAAAGAGCTTATGTCAACCGACTTGACCTCTTAGATCAGGTAAGATTTTCTTTCTCAGAATTATTTTATATTTTGGCATTATACATCATTTTAACCTAGTAATTAGAGTATTTTAGAAACTGCATGAAGGAAGGGCCTGTTTTTGGCTAGTGAAAGGTACTTGCTCAAGGAAATCTCCAGCACTTTGAGCTTTGTGAGTGAATTCACTAGGTATAAGCATTTTCTAATTTGTAAAGAGTAGAGGTTTCTCTCTATGAATCACAAAATGTGTTTATCAAGTGTCCTATAAACTTAAACACTAGTCTGTTTCCTGACCTTTCATTGTCATCCTGGGGACCATGTTACCACTAAAATCTAAATAAGATATTGATGATTCTAATGCTAAGATGGATGTGTCATTGATTCTGTTTGCCTCATTTGCTATCTAGCATTATGTGAGTGATCTGAGCTGGTGTAGTCATAGGGCCAGAAGGGATTTTGAAAGTTCACTTATTCGACCTTGTATGAAACATTTAATATAGTACCTGGCATAAAGTTGCCCAGCTGATATTTGTTTAATGTGTGAATGTACTTTATCATATATTGTACTTGCATCATGAAACCTTGAGTATCATTTCAAATATACACTTGGAAAGTCTAAGAACATATTATAAGAATAACTTTTGGGCTGGGCGCGGTGGCTCACGCCTGTAATCCCAGCACTTTGGGAGGCCGAGGCGGGCGGATCACGAGGTCAGGAGATCGAGACCATCCTGGCTAACACGGTGAAACCCCGTCTCTACTAAAAATACAAAAAATTAGCCGGGCGTGGTAGCGGGCGCCTGTAGTCCCAGCTACTCGGGAGGCTGAGGCAGGAGAATGGCGTGAACCCGGGAGGCGGAGCTTGCAGTGAGCCGAGATCGCGCCACTAGCACTCCAGCCTGGGTGACAGAGCGAGACTCCGTCTCAAAAAAAAAAAAAAGAATAACTTTTGAAAACTAAGGCATCTTTTTTTTTTTTTTTTTTTTTTTTTTTTTTGGAGATGGAGTCTGGCCCTGTCGCCCAGGCTGTAGTGCAGTGGTTTGATCTTGGCTCACTGCGACCTCCTACTCCCAGGTTCAAGCAATTCTCCTGCCTCAGCCTCCCGAGTAGCTGGAATTACAGGCATGCACCACCCACGCCCGGCTAATTTTTTCTGTCTTTAGTAGAGACGGGGTTTCACCATGTTGGCCAGGCTGGTCTTAAAGTCCTGACCTTGTGATCCTCCCACCTTGGCCTCTCAAAGTGCTGGGATTACAGGCGTGAGCCACCACGCCTGGACCCTAAGGCATCCTAATCCTGTTTCAGCAATAAAGAATAGGACAAATGGTAGATTGCCCATATAGCCTCCTTGTTAGAAGGGAAAGCTGCCATGTTAGAGTGTTACTTATAAGAATTGTCCCACTTCTGCCATTGGAAACTGGAATTTCATGGAAACAGGCAATCCTGTGCATACCTCCTTATCATTAGTTCCAGAAGTGAACCACTTGCCTGCTAGGGTGAGCCATGAGAAGCCATTTTAAGGCCTATGCTCTTTGAAAGAATGAGTTTATGGGTCACATATTCATTTTTGAAGGAATTTCACCATAAGCCAAAATCAAATGATATGAAGTTTGTACCTTTGAAACAACTTTCTTCCTTATGGGAATTACAGACCTGAAATTTTAGATATTCCCATAGTGGAGATATTTCTTTTCTCTTATCAAGTTGTGTGGTTTTCTAAAGCCAAATAACTCGTCAGCCACTGCTGCTGACCTTTTAGAATTCTAGAGTCCTAATTACTATAGTAACCTAACTATTGGAGCCTCTAAGGACATAATTTTTTGTTCTTTTTGCCTCTCAAGAAAATAGAGTGGAGGTGAATTTAGAAAATTAACAACCATCTGGACATTATGAAGGAATAGACCTCCTTCTGCCTACATGTAACAGAATGGCAATTAAGAGGTATAGTAGCCCTAGTGAAGTATAGCTAAGACTGAAGGTTTGGGTTTTTGTTTTTTGTTTTTCTTTCTTTCTTTCTTTCTTTCTTTTTTTTTTTTTTGTCTTCAAGGTACGTGTTACTATGTGTAGGAAGAGACTTTTCCCCCTACATATCAGTGTTTTACATTACTATGCATTATTATTTACTAAAAAGCAGGTAAGTATCTGAGAATTGAAATATTCCTTTGTCCATTCATTGGCCAGTTATTATGCACTTGTTCTGTTGTGGGAACTAAATCATGATGTTCCCCTTTCCCAAGGAGCATACAATTTTAATAGGAAAAATGAGACTTATGTCAGCAAACTACAATAAAGGGAAATATGTAATAAGTGAAGAAGTCTTTCGAAACATAAAGAGAAGTGAAAAATACCACAATTACTGTGTATACATAAAGTGTTTTCACATTTCCTAACTCTGGCTTATGGATAGGAAGGGTGAATTCTATTAACCTCAACTGGAAATTTTCTGGCACAGAAAAGGTGAATTATTCGCCATAATATTCCTATGGATAGGAGCATAGCCTAGATTAGAATCAAAGCTTCCTAATTCTTATTCCTGATTCTTCTAAATCAAAGCATATACTCACTCCTAAATTTCAAAGGATTCTCTTGAACTGTAAACTTTTCCATTTGCTCAATAAAAAGTTACTAAGAGCCCACTATGTGCCTAGCACAGTGCTAGGTGGTTAACCAATAAATGTGAAGTAATGCTTACATTATTCTTTTATTCAGGTATTTTATTGCAAACTGTTGGAAGAAGCAAACCGAGGCTCGTTTCCAGCAGAGATGGTGAATAAAATCTTTTCTAATATTTCATCAATAAATGCCTTCCATAGTAAATTCCTCTTGCCAGAGCTGGAGAAACGAATGCAAGAATGGTAAGAGGAGTAGATAGAAAATGATATGTTTAAGGCAGTCATGCTGTATTTTTCAGCTTTTAAATTGAAATAGAAATGCCACACACAACTGTAACTAGACATTTATGCTAAATTTTTACATTAAAGACTACTGATAGAAGTTGTGGTACAAAGGACTTCATGTCTGCTCTCCAAACTATCATTTAGCTAGTGAAGACAAGATATCGGGTAATGTGGAGCTTCAAGAATTCCGGAGCATCTCTCTTTGCTATGGCATTCTGATAGCCCCTTTAAAAAGGTGCTGCATTGTTTTCTATCAGCCTCACAGTACGGTGAATGAGATAAAGCACAGGATGTATGTAGAATGTGATTACTTCCTCTCTAGTCCTGTCAATTCACTCATTCTATAAGAAATCTTAATGTGCCGGGCGTGGTGGCTCATGCCTATAATCCCAGCACTTTAGGAGGCCAAGGCAGGCGGATCCCTTGAGCCCAGGAGTTCAAGACCAGCCTGGGCAACATGGTGACACACTATCTCTACAAAAAATACAAAAAGCTAGCCACTAGCCAGGCGTGGTGGCGCGTGCCTGTAGTCCCAGCTACTGAGAGTGCTGAAGCTGGAGGATTGATTGAACCTGGGAGGTCGAGGTTGCAGTGAGCTGTGATAATGCCACTGCACTACAGTCTGGGTGACAGAACAAGACCCTGTCTCAAAAAAAAATTTTTTTTAAAGACTTGTTTTTCTATATTTGATACAGGGAAACTACTCCTAGAATTGGAGACATCCTTCAGAAATTGGCACCATTCCTTAAGATGTATGGAGAATATGTGAAAGGATTTGATAATGCAATGGAATTGGTTAAAAACATGACAGAACGTATTCCCCAGTTCAAATCAGTGGTTGAAGAAATTCAGGTAATAGGACTGTTTTGTTCAAAGCTATGAATTACTATTTCCATACAAATTATACAGTCTTCTATATCTAAAACTGAGATCTAGAGATCTGTCTGAGATACCTAGCCAAAATTCATTCTACTCCAAATTATGCAGATCATCTCTGCAATGCTGAAATACGTATCAGTCACATGCTGCATACTAAGCAATAACTTCTCCATTTGCTTTTGAGACCAGCAGAGGATGATTTTTATTAGGGTCTACATAAATTTACAAAATGAGTTCCCATTCGGGTCTGTGTCTCTCTTGCATTCTTTCAGAGGTTAAGTTGTTGGAAGGAATATAAAGAATGATTGCTGTAAACCTTGAGATTTGGGAAACTAATCATTCTTTTTTTGTCACTTGATATCTGTGTCCTCATTTTCTTCTGTTTCACCAAACCTGAATAACATACTTTAATAATACCATAATAATTTCCACTTGATTCTCTAGTCAAAATTGTTAATGTCATATTCTTTGATACAGTTGATATTGAAAAGGCATATTTTAGATCATCTAAGATTCTTGGCATGGGAATTCTGTTGTTCCTTGACTGTCTTCTTTTGTGTCATATGAATTTTTTTAATTGTACCATTTTAATTCCTCTAATTGTCAAATGATTTTTTGAGTTATTTTCCAGTGGTTGCTTTTAGGATTATAGTATGCATCTTAATTTTTCACAATGTACTTCAGATTATACTCACCTTAATTCTTGTAAAATGTAGACACTTTGTTCCAATATAGCTCTGTTCCCTCCTCTATGCTCTGTGCTATTAGTGTCCTGTATATTAAGTTTTTATATGTTGTGAGTCTATAATACAGTGCTACAATTGTTATGGAAGGATATGAGAAAAAAATGTATCTATAAGTCTATTGTATACTATTATATTTGCCCTTTCTGGAGTAAGTTTCTTTCAGCATACATGGTTGTTCTGTCAGTCTTTGTCTGGGACTACACTTATTTTTTCTTGACTTTTGAATGAATGAAGAATGAAGTCCAGTTTAGCTAGATTGGGAATTCCTGGTATATGGGTTTTTCCTTTTTATTTTATTTATTTTTTTTTTTGGAGACGGAGTCTCGCTGCTCTGTTGCCCAGGCTGGAGTGCAGTGGCGTGATCTAGGCTCACTGCAAGCTCCGCCTCCTGGGTTTACTTAGCCATTCTCCTGCCTCAGCCTGTTGCTGGGACTACAGGCGCCTGCCACCACGCCTGGCTAATTTTTTGTATTTTTAGTAGAGATGGGGTTTCACCGTGTTAGCCGGGATGATCTCTATCTCCTGACCTTATGATCTGCCTGCCTCGGCCTCCCAAAATGCTGGGATTATAGGCGTGAGCCACCGCGCCTGGCCTTTGTTTCTATAATGTTTATTATTTTTTTTTTTTAGAGACAGGGTCTTGCTCTTGTCACCCAGGCTAGAGTGCAGTGGCCCAGTCACAGCTCACTGCAGCCTTGAACACTTGGGCTTGAGCAATCCTCCCACCGCAGCCTCTCAGGTAGCTGGGACTACAGGCATGCGCCACCACCCTGGCTAAATCTTAGAATTTTTTTATAGAAACAAGGTCTGGCTATGTTGCCCAGGCTGGTCTTGAACACCTAGACTCAGCCTCCCAGAGTGCTGGGATTACAGGCATGAGCCACTGCACTCAACCAGTATATGGAGATCCCCCCCAGCACTTTGAATATGTCATTCTCCTGCTTTCCGTCCTCTGTGGTTTGAGATGAGAAGCCAGCCATTGATTGTATTGATACTCCCATGCGTGTGATGAGTCACTTTTCTCTTGCTGCTTTCAAGATGTTCTCTGTTTTTTGGCTTTCAGCAGTTTAAATATGATGTGTCTGGGTGTGGACCTTTTTGTATTTGTCCTGGTTAGGGTTGGTTGAGCTTTTTGCATTTGTAGATTGATTTTTTTTTAATCATTTTCAGAAGTTTTCAGCCATTATTTCTTCAAATATTTTCTGTCCTTTTCACTTTCTCTTTTTTAAAATCTTTTTACTCCCATTACACAAATTTTGGTGGGTTCCTTTTGTTTGTTTTGGAAATGGTGTCTTGCTGTGTTGCCTAGGCTGGCCTTGAACTCCTGGGTTCAAATGATACTCCCAATCTTTGTTCTATTATTCAGATTGTATAATTTCTACTAGTCTTTCTTCAAGTTCCCTGATTCTTCTGTCATCTCAAATCTGCTGTTGAACCTATAGTGAATTTTTCTTTTCAATTACTGTATTTTTCACATCTACAACCACAACTTCTGGCTAGTAGAGTTATTGGCTCTCACCTCTCACTCACCTCAGGGATCTTCACTTCTACTGATGTTGTTGGGTGTGTATGTTGCCCACCACTCCAAATGAATGAGCCCTTTTCAGCCTCAGCAGAGGAGCTGCCAGTCCTCACAGTCCGTGCCACCCTGATGGCCCCTTCATAGTGACTGAGCTGGGAGAGGAACAGGAGCAGCCACAGGCTAGAATGCCACAGATTCTCACCGTTCTTACCCAAAGTTCAACAATTTTTAAAGTGTAAACAGATTTCAGGTTGTTGCATGCCTTTTAATCAATTTCTAAAATGCAAATATTGTTTTGTCAATTTTATCTAGCTTTATAGCTGCTTTTTTTTTTTTTTTTTTTGGAGTTAGAGTCTTGCTCTGTCACCCAGGCTGGAGTGCAGTGGTATGATCTCGGCTCACTGTAACCTCTGCCTCCTGGGTTCAAGCGATTCTTGTGCCTCAGCTTCCTGAGTAACTGGGATTACAGGTACATGCCACTACACCTGGTTAATTTTTGTACTTTTAGTAGAGACGGGGTTTCGCCATGTTGGCCAGGCTGGTCTCAAACTCCTGGCCTCAAATGATTCCCCCGTCTCGGCTTTCCAAAGTGCTAAAATTACAGGCAGGAGCCACTGCACCCGGCCTATCAGCTGCTTTTAACAGGGAGGATTTGCCAGTCTCTTCATTCAGCTGTAGCCAGAAGGTCTGCCTCATCCCCTTCACTCCTTTTTTTTTTTAACATTCTTTTATTTTGTAATTAAACACTCCCCTACCTTACTGAATATTGGGCTCCTGCTTTGATTTTTACTAGCTTCTTTTGCTAACTCTGAAATGTAGGCAGAGCACAAAGTTTGCCTTCTACATTCTTCTTTCTTTTCATACTTTTCAGTGATATCCTATTCCCACATGCCTTTAACTTGCCAGACAGGTTCCTCTAGGGTTGCTGTTTCTAGTCTAGTTCTCTACTCCCAAACTCTAGGTACAAACAGCTGAGCATGTGAATATCTTGTCATCCAAACAAAGTCAATATTTTCTTTTCCTATTTTTAGCTCCCAAGCATTTTTCCATCTGACTTTTTAGGCCTTACATAGAGTAGATAATTATTCTGATATGTATTGGATTTATTAGGTGACACCATTATCCTGTCATTTACCAGAGCTTGACAACTTAGCTTTATCTTTGATTTGTTACATGTCTTCATTCTCTGTATGTGTTCATTTGCCTGTGAAATAATGTATTCAAATTGCTTAGCGTAGTGCTTGTTGCATAGTAAGTGCTCACTAAATGATAGTGGCGATGGTGGTGATAGTGGTAGTTATTGTCTAGTCACACTCTGAATTCTATCTGTACAATGTCTGTCTTCTCTATATTATGATGAAATGACATGGGTTGTGAAAAGAGTGGTAGATTGGGAATCAACTAACCTAGTTTAGAATCCTAAGTCTGCTGCTTATAGTCACTTGACCTTAGGAAACGCTCCTAAATTATCTGAGCCACAGTTTCTTCATGTAAAATATTTGGGATCAGTAATACTTTCCTTGATGTACGTAATAGATTTTGGGAAAACCCAATGAGATATTTAAATTTATATAATTAATATCTTAAACTTTATTAAGGAAAGCTATTCTCTCAGCTTCTATGCCAATTTCAGGCCCTTATTATTTTCTTCCTGGTCTATAATAACAACTTCCAAACTAGTTTCCCCCGTCCCCCTAAAGCCACACTGCAGTAGATTAATCTAATAGAGCTCAGATCTAATGATACAACTGTCATGCACAAAAATCTACATTAGATGAAAAAAATCTAAACTCACCTTGACATTATTACCCATATTACCATTACTTTACGTCTTCTATTTTCCTCTACTTATTTTTTTTTTTTTGCCAAGAAAACCTCTCTGTCCCTTTCATTTAACATACTTCATGCTTCATTACTGTGGGCCTGTTCTCTCAGGTTTCTCCTCCTGGGCTCGCTCCCTAGTCTGTCTTTTTCTTCAGAGCCTGTACTTATCAGAGGTTGCATTAAATGTTCCCTTCTCTGTGAAGCCTTTAGTCACTTGTTTGCTTCAAATGCAAACACCATGTCTTAATATAGCTTTGATGCTTTGCAGTACCCTGATCATGGTGTGAATTCAGTATATACTTTAATGGGATTTCTGCTTTGTTTAACAGGAACAAGAACATTTCTTATTTTTTCATCTCTTTTGTTAACAGTTTCTTGGAAGCAAGTGATACGGTCTTAATTTTGCCCTAAGAAATGGAGCTCTATTTACAGAATTTGGTTTCTAATGAAAAAGAATGCTTTGAACTGATGAAAAAATAAAATTTTCTGACAGATAAGATGCCCAGACCTTGTTATTCTTCTATATGGAGTCTTTTTTAAGTTCAAAGGCAATGACATTTATCATAGCCTTATTATCAAATAGTTTCTGCTGAGTCCAAAGTCATTTAATACAGTTGTGCTTAGCAAACCTCATTAAATAGGCACATCTTTTGAAAAATCTATATAGAATGATTTAATAATGTGACTTCACAAACCCTTGTAGTGACTAATTGAAGTGGTTATCAGCAATCTGGAATTTTCTTGCTTAAAATTCTGCTTGATTTTTTTTCCTCCTTTCTGTTCTTACACCAGATTGGTAGTTCTCAACTTCAGTGTTATAGAAATATCAGGTGTTTTTAAATGCATATTCTCTAGCTGGGCATGGTGGCACGTGCCTATAGCTACTTGGAAGGCTGAGGTGGGAGGACTACTTGGGCCCAGGAGGCAGAGGTTGCAGTGAGATCACACCACTGTGTGCCTGGACAACATAGTGAGACTCCGTCTCAAAAAAAGAAGAAAAAAATGCATATTCTCCATCTCCTTCCCCAAAGATTGTGATGTTACAGATTGAGGTGGGGTTCAGAAATCTGTTTTCTGTTGTTGTTGTTGTTTTTTTTGAGACGGAGTCTCACTCTGTCACCCAGGCTAAGTGGCACGATCTTGGCTCACTGAAACCTCCGCCTCCCAGGTTCAAGCAATTCTCCTGCCTCAGGCTCAGCCTCCGCATAGCTGGGACTACAGGCGTGTGCCACCACGCCTGGCTAATTTTTGTATTTTTAGTAGAGGCGGGGTTTTGCCATGTTGGCCGGGCTGGTCTCAAACCCTGATCTCAGGTGATCCACCTGTCTCAGCCTCCCACAGTGCTGGGATTACAGGTGTGAGACACTGTGCCTGGCCAGAAATCTGCATTTCATGCAGGTGATGGACAGTCACACTTTGTCGAAAAATATTGCCCTTGACGAAAGTTCTGTTTTACAGTGAGTTTTTAGACTTGCTAACCTAATTTTTAAATGTTTCTTAGAAAACCTTTCTCATTACAGAAACAGAAAATCTGTGGGAGCTTAACTTTGCAGCATCACATGCTAGAACCTGTTCAGCGGATTCCCCGGTATGAGATGCTCCTTAAGGACTATCTAAGGAAATTGCCTCCTGATTCCCTGGACTGGAATGATGCTAAAAGTAAATGCTTTTTTTTTGTTTTCTCCCTATTTTGGAATAATCAAGTGGCCAAGCAGCCTTATGGTTTCAAAGAGAAATACATCTCACAGCTACTTTAGTCAAATGTTGCTGTTAGAAGATAATTTCATTGGAAATTGTTATCATCACTTCAGTTAGGCAAGTCACTTTTGAGCCAAAATGACAAGTTTAGAGCAATGCAAATCACATTAATTTTGCTGGTTCCATGTTAGTCACTGGCTCTGAAATATAAAATTATAGTCTTAAAGACATCTAGAATAGCAATACACAATTTCCTTGTCAGAGGAAGAATATAGCCATTCAGAATTACAAGTGCTCCTGTTTAATTAGATAGGTTGGTGCATACCAAGAAAGCTAAGGTGACATTCACTATGTAAAAATAACCTAAGCAGAGTTGGCTGCACCTGCCCTAACGTGCTACCATAACAGGAAATGGTGCTTTTTATTGTCCAATAACATTTTCTTCAAGAAAAATGTATTTCAATTATGTTAGATGTCTTATTTTTTCATCAGATTATAATGAAAGGGGTTTTTTTAAAGGCTTATGAGTTTCAATAATACTTTACCTTTTTCTGCACTTTTACAAATCAACTGTAAAGGCATGAATGAAAATTTAAGAAATAACAGTGGCTTGATATTCAACAAGCAGTGGTTGTACTTGTGTACAACCTTAAAACATTGCTACTTTCCCTTGTAATTTCTTGTTTTCTGTCATAAGTGAACCTGGATGAGAGACGAAGTACGTAAAACATTTTTTGTCTTGGATCCTTAACCTTTTCTTTTTAAATTATTATTGTTGTTATTATTACTATTATTATTTTGACACAGAGTCACACCCTGTTGCCCAGGCTGGAGTGCAGTGGCGCGATCTTAGCTCACTGCAACCTCCACCTCCCGAGTTCAAGCCATTCAGCTAATTTTTGTGATTTTAGTAGAGACGGGTTTTCACCATGTTGGCCAGGCTGGTCTTAAACTCCTGACCTCAGATGATCCACCCACCTCAGCTTCCCAAAGTGCTGGGATTACAGGTGTGAGCCACTGCTTCTGGCCCTGATCCTTAGCCTTTTCTAGAACACAAGCTGTCTCAGATGTGTTTCTCCCATCATTTGAGTGACTCTGACCACAGAAACTTCTCTTCTCCATTGGCCCCTTCCATAGTGTAGGATGAACTCGGCTTGCCATCTCCTCAAACCAACTACTTCCTATGAATTCTTCCCTGTCTCCATTTTCCATCCATCTCACCTGACTGCTTGATTTGAGTGGCAGATCTAGTGGTGGGGGTGGAGGTGGAAACACTACTGCTTTTCCTCAAATTCATCTCTAGAGCAGTGGCTTTATCCCATCTTATTTTGTCTTCCTCTATCCTGGATCCTGTATCAAGTGCACAGCATCGCCCACATCAGAATAGTTCTTTAAAATGTAAATTAAAATTCAGTTTATTCTACACTCAGACTTTGGTATCCCCTTAGATGCCCATGTCAAAAATGAGAAAGTTGGTGACATGGTATGGCATTTTATTGCTTTTTGTTTGTTTTCCATTGCTACTTTCACTCAAATTCCAAGGAAATCACAGAAGAAGGGCTTTTTGGTGACCTAAAAGTAGAAATGAAAGCAACAAAATGCATTCTGTCCAGCAGTACACTGAAGACAAAAAATGTAGTTGAAAAGTCTCAGGGTTGTTGTGGTAACAGAATTAAGCAGGCCGGTATTCACAAAACAGAAAAGAAAGGAAGAAAATGGGACATGATTTAGGATTGAGAGGTTTTTCCTAGGGTTAGTCCAGCAAGAGGTCTCGGCATCCACAGCACTTCACCAGCAGCCTCTGGAGCTCCTACGATGTCCACACCAAAGAGTTCCCATTCCCACCTGCCCCAGGAACAAAACCCTCCAACACTGGCCTCAGAAGATTCCCTTTCACCCGACCCAGGCTAGAACTGTGAATGTATTTTCCCAAAGAAAGTAGGTTATGCTTAGTGGTTAATTTGCTCATACAACTAGTAAAATACTTACTACTCATGAAATATTTTAGAACTTTTGAGTCAGAAACCTGGGTTTAAATCTGGCCCTTCAATAGCATAGCTGTGTGACCTCAGCCAAGTTGTATTACTTCCCCATTTCATTCATCTGCCAAATGGAGCTAAAATACTTAATGGTTTAAGGCTGTGTAAGAATTGATATTGTAATAAAGTACCTGGTATGGATTTAGTATACACTGTAAGTTTCAAAGTCTGAGTATAGAAGAAACTGAATTTTTGTTTACATTTTGGAGAACTATTCTGATTTGGGCAATTCTGTGCACTCAATACAGGATCCAGGAGAGAGGGAGACAAAATAAGTTGGGCTGGGGCCACAGCTCAAGAGATGAACTAAGGAAAAGCAGTGATGTTTCTATCTCTGCTTATTAATTTTGATGGTTCATTGGGGATTAATTAAACCTGTGAGCCTAAATCATCATGTATGACTTTTTATAAGGAAATACGAAGTTTCAAGTAATCTGCTTACAAATGAACTTTAGAAAGTATATACCGTTTATAAATGGAAAATGCCACTATTTTTGTTGTATCTTTGGTCTCAGACTTCTTAATTTAGTAAGTTACTCAGCTATATAGAAGCACAGGAAGGACAAAGCATATTTATTTACTTTTCTTTTTTTCCCATTTAGAATCACTTGAAATTATATCTACAGCAGCAAGCCATTCTAATAGTGCAATAAGGAAAATGGTAAGTGGTTTTCGGAGGAGACAGGAACCTCTGATTAGACAATTATCAATAATACTGCCTCAATACTATGTAGATTTGGACCAAAGTGAATTGAAATAGATGAGCCAAAAAGAATGTTTATGAAATGTTTAATGTTATCTGGAATAATTCTCTGAACTTGCTAATAAGTGATGGAATTTATATTAAAATGTATGCTTACTCCTAATCCCTTCTAAATTTAGATTTTAGTTAAGGTCATAGTATTATTAAAGCTACTAGGTTGAAACCTGCCTGTATGTGATCTTGCTGTTTTAATTTCCTAGGAGAACCTAAAGAAACTCTTAGAGATTTATGAAATGTTGGGAGAAGAAGAAGACATTGTAAACCCTTCAAATGAACTAATAAAAGAAGGACAGATCCTCAAACTAGCTGCTCGGAACACTTCAGCACAAGAACGCTACCTTTTCTTAGTGAGTATTATAGTGTTGGCAAGTCATATAAGAATTATATATAAAAATATGGCTGGGCACGGTGGCTCATGCCTGTAATCCCAGCACTTTGGGAGGCCGAGGCGAGTGGATCTCCTGAGGTCAGGAGTTTGAGACCAGTCTACTAAAAATACAAAAAGTAGCTGAGTGTGGTGGCGGGTGCCTGTAATCCCAACTACTCAAGAGGATGAGGCAGGAGAATTGCTTGAACCTGGGAAGTGAGCTGGTTGTAGTGAGCTGAGATCGTGCCACTGCACTCCAGTCTGAATGACAGAGCGAGACTCCATCTAAAAAAAAGGAATTATATATAAAAATAGTTGTATACACCTTGGAAAAATAGAATGTTTCCTTATTCACCAAAGCAATTACATCTAACCTGGTTTAGTCAACATTCCATTTAGGGAATATTCCATTTAGGGATTCAATTTAGGGAAATATTCTAAGTAACGTATTTTTCTGTATACTTGGTATGGATGGCAGGCAGTAGTGGCCCATCTGGAGCAGTTGCTGCAGTGATGCTGGTTGCAGCGGGGGAGGCATGGCCAGGGCAGCTACCCAGCCGCAGCTGCCGACTCAGGCATTCCTGTGCTCTCAGGGGCCCGGGAAGCCCCCTGTACCCCTGCAGGCTCAGAAATGCCTGCTCCCACTGCCTGGCCTCTCCCCGCTCCCAATGCCTGTTCCGATTTCGGAGCAAATTTGGAGCCAAGCCTAGGTGCTGTTGCAAACCGGCAGGGTGTGCACACACTTGGGGCAGCGCTGATATGCCAGCCCCCTGGTATCTCAGCCCCTTCCAGACTTTGGTGCCAATGAGCATGGGAGGGAAGCCAAGGGGTTGCTGAGGGTGGCTTGGTGTGGGCCTGCATGTTCCCCAGTGCCAGCAGTGGAAGCCACTTGCAGTACGCTTGCTCCAGCCACAGCTTTGCAGGGAGCCGGTGCCCATGCTGGTGCCTAGAAATGCTCCCATTGCTGTAGCCAGCATGCCTGGCTGTGCGCGTGACCCGGACCCTGTGCTCGCTCATTCACGTACCCCTTGCTGCTCCAGGCTCGCCTTTGGCAGGCCTGGGATCTGGGCTGGTAGCACAAACCAAGCGCAGCCTGCCAGGCCGAATGGGCAGAATGAGCCCAGCAGGCCCAAGCAGAACTCAGGCAAAGGAGCCACTGGCCACAAAGGTGTCCAGCTGACAAAGCAACACCCCAAGGATCCTTTGACAGTATAATTTACTTCAGTAGCACATACTGACAACAATTTAACTTTACACACGTGGGATATGATACTTTCGGAAATCCTCCTTTTGCTTGTTTCAGATTTTCTCTTTCATTTCATTCTCAGGTAATTGGGTACCATTTCCTGGATATTTTGTTGGTGTATCATTTCCTGACATCAATTCTCTTCCTAATCCTCTGTAGTCACTATTTTTAATCTTTCTAGGCTAAAAATATATATAAGCCTGGTTGTAAGTCTTGTGTCTAAAATATCTATGGGAAAAGTACATGAGTTCTCTACACAGTTCTTTCTCACTGCAGTCAGTCCTTGACCCTTTCCTTCACTTCCTGGAAATGACAGTCTGGGGCTTATCTCAAATATAAGAGCACTTCCTGGGGCATCCAGACAATTTTTTTTTCTTTGGATTCTGTCCACCTGACCTTTACTCTTTGTTATCCTAATGAATTTCAATTCCTTTCTATATCTAATAAGATGATAATAAGAATCATAATAATATGCATTGACAAAGAATAAGCTAACATTGAATAATAGCTTAATAAACGTTAGCTTTCATTCTAATTGTTATTAAAGAGAAACAGACACATGGGTGAAAAGGCTGCCTGGTGACTGGCATACAGTACGTTCTTAGGATGTTATTCATGTCTGACTTTTCTGCTCTGAGGCAGTCATCTCACCCACCATAGCATGAGTTGTCATGGGGGCTTAGAGGCTTCTGTGTCTGTTTCCAGTCTCCATTGAAAGGAAAACTTAGGAACTAATTGTCATGCAGAGGGGTGTTCAGTACAAGGGGTCTTGAAAAAGTTCATGGAAAATGCATGTTATGAAAAAACTATGCGTAGATTTCAAAGCTTTTTTTGCAACAAAATAAACCCATAGTAACTTGTTATAACATGTCTGAACAGTATCTGGTTTGGGGCACTAAGAAGGATAAGACATCAGTTTGAGGCCAGGCACAGTGGCTCATACCTCTAATACCAGCACTTTGGGAAGTTGAGACAGGAAGATGGCTTGAGCTTAGGAGTTCAAGACCAACCTGGGTAACATACAGAGACCTCCCTGTCTCTACAAAAAATTTAAAAATTAGCTGGGCATGGTAGCTTGCACCTGTACTCCTAGCTACTTGAGAGGAGGAGGATCCTAGCTACTGAGGCAGGAGGATCTCTTGAGCCAAAGAGTTCCAAGGCTGCACTGAGGTATGACCATGCCACCCAGCCTGGGTGACAGAGTGAGACCCTGTCTCAGAAAAATAAATAAATAAAAAATAAAGACATCAGGTTGAAAAGAGCCCCTATCAAAGCAACATGAATTCTGTTAAAATTGAAGCAAGAACAAACATCAAACTTACGGTGAAGTTTGGATGCAAAAATGATAAAATCATTGACACTTCATGAAAAGTTAATGGAGACAATGCCGCAAAGAAATCAGCAGTTTACAAATGGGTAACTAA
Organism: Homo sapiens; assembly: GCF_000001405.40. Lineage (NCBI taxonomy): Eukaryota > Metazoa > Chordata > Mammalia > Primates > Hominidae > Homo > Homo sapiens. Next base: position 32,613,974 of record NC_000012.12, read on the forward strand.
TTTTAAGAAGGGACAAGACATTGTTGAAGATGAAACCTGCAGCAGCAGACCATCCACATCCTTTTGCTAGGAAAAAGTTCATCTTTTTCCTGCCCTAATTGAAGAGGACTGACAATGAACAGCAGAAGCAGTAGCCAATACCACAGACATCTCATTGGGGTTCATCTTGCACAAGTCTGACCGAAAAATTAAAGTTAAGCAACTTTCCACTCAATGGGTACCAAAAATGTTGCACCCAGATCAGCTGCAGACAAGAGCAGAACTTTTGGTGGAAATCTTAAATAAGTGGCATCAAGCTTCTAAAGCATTTCTACAATAAATTGTAACAGGAGATGAAACATGGCTTTCCCAGTACGATCCTGAAGACAAAACACAATCAGAGCAATGGTTACCAACAGGTAGAAGTGGTCCAGTCAAAGCAAAAGAGGTCCAGTCAAGAGCAAAGGTCATGGCAGGGGTTTTTTGGGATGCTCAAGGCAATATGCCTGCTGACTTTCTCGAGGGCCAAAGAACAATAACATCTGCTTATTATGAGATGACTTGGAGAAAACTAGCAAAAGATTTTAGCAGAAAAACACCCAGGAAAGCTTCTCCAAAGAGTCCTTCTAAACCATGACAATGTTCTTGCTCATTATTCTCATCAAACAAGGGCAATTTTTCGAGAGTTTTGACAGAGAATCATTAAGCGTACACCTTACAGTCCTCTGACTTCTTTTTGTTTCCTAATCTTAAAGAATCTATAAAGGACACCCATTTTCTTCAGTTAATAGTGTAAAAACTACTGCATTGCCATGGTAAAATTCTCAAGACCCTCAGTTCTTTAGGATGGATTAAATGGCTGCTATCATTGATTACAAAATTGAACTTGGTAGAGCTTAGGTTGAAATAAATTTTTTCTTTTAATTCCATTTTTCCACAAACTTTTAAAAGTCTTTTTGTGTCAGTCATGTTTTTAAAAGAATTTGGTTGCTATATGACCCACTAGTTCTACTCCAAGTTTTTATAACTCAAGAAAATTGAAAACATGTGTCTGCACAAAAACTTGCACATCTTTGTCCATAACAGCATTATTCATAATAGCCAAAAAATTTGAGACAACCTAAATGTCCATTAACTGAATAGGTAAACAAAATGTGGTATGTTCATGCAATGAAATAGTATATGTCGAGAAAAAGGAATAAAAACTTATATATGCTACATGGATTAACCTTAAAATGTTGTGTCAAGTGAAAGATGCCAGTTACAACAGACCATATACAGTATGGTTCTATTTATATGAAATGTCCAGAAAAAGCAAATGCATAGAGAGAGGATGTAATTGGTGGTTCCCTAAGACTAGCAAGGAATGGAAAATGGATATGAGGTTTCCTTTTAGAGACATAAAATGTTCTGGAATTGGTGATAGTTGCACAATTTACAACTATCCTAAAAACCATGATTTGTACATTTTAAAAGAGTAAATTTTATGGTATGTGAATATCTTCATAATTTAAAAATGTGTATTTTTACCAGATTAACTATAAAAGTTCTCATTTGTGCTAAACACAAGTACTTCTTTCACGGGTAATATAGATAGCTAAATAGAAAACAAGGATGTGTCATGTTAGGGTTCAGAGTCTTCTTCAGAGGTCTATTATAAAAGATCACATGACTGCCATCGGAAGGGCAGATCGGGGTGGGGTGGGGGTGTGGCATATGAAGCGGGAGAGCAGTGGGGAAGCACCAGCGTCAGGAGGCAGAGGAGCAAGCAGAAAACGTGGGCAAGAGCCTTTATTGTGGTTTCTGCAGGAAGGAATGGGCAAGACAGAGCACCAGGATTAGGATTGGCTAGTTGGAATAATTTCTTTAGGGGTTAGGGGCTGTTGTCCTGGCCCTGAGGTGATTGGGGCAGGAGAATAGTGTCCCAGAGAGTAAGTGTTTAATACAGGGGGTGACTGCGGGTGTGAGTTCTGACTTGGTTGGTTTCCACATGAAAGGCGTGTTACTCTCTCTAGGAATCGGGTAATCCTGGGAGGGGCAGTCCTGTCAGTGTCAACAAGGCCTTAAGATGCCTAAAATCAAAAATACTTAATAAAAAGACGTGCTTAATACATCATTCTAGGCAACATAACCAGGAGCCAATGTCTTTCCTCTGTCTTTGCCTTTCAGTTGCTAGGATCATTTTCCTTTCTCCTCTTCCTCATTAATGTGACAGCCTCTGCAGTTAAACTCTGAGCTCTGGGTCTAACCAATTGCCTCGGCCTAATTTTCACTTCTGGGAGTTGTTTTGGAAAGAGGTTTCTGTTGAATATCTTGAGGCAGAGCTGAATTAAACAGCTCTTTGGAGTCCAGGTGGCAAAGAACCTTGGGGAAAGTGGCAGTCAGTGACTGAGGAAAAGACCCCTCCTGTTCCAGTTACTTTAAGCCATCAAACATATGCCGTTGCCTCCCAGGAGAATGAGGTCACATGGCAGGAATTTTAGGAGAGCCACATTTATTCTTTGAAGACCATCTTAGAAACATTTCCAGTGTCATGTTGGTTCTTTTCATCCACCCTCTCCAGTGCTGTGCTTGTCACAGAATCTTGCCTTGCCAGTGCACATTTATTCCCATGGAACCTCTTGTTCTTTTACTTGTAGAAACTTCAGAAGCACCATTTTTATTTTCTTTTCTCTCTAGAAAGGTAATGAGGGCTAGTTTTCTGTTTCCTACACTTGAGATAATACATTTGTCTGGAAAACCAAACTGTATTTAGAATCTGCTATCTGCTTTTAAATGATCTTCATGTGTTTGCATATTTTCATGCCTCCATACCATACTTTTTCATTGTTTTTTATGTTAATGTAGGATGCTGTTTAATGTAAGCCATTTCATGTTGCTATCACAGAACACCTGAGACTGGCTAATTTATAAAGAACAGGGGTTTATTTTCTGCAGTTCTGGAGGCTGGGAAGTCCAAGATTGCGGGGCTGGCATCTGGTGAGGGCCTTCTTACTGCATCATAACATGCAGAAGGCAGGCATCACATGGTGAGAGAGAGAGAGAGAGCAAGAAATCCACCTCATGGCCTCAAGCCCTTTTATAATCAGCATTAATCCATTCCTGGATTAATTCATAGATTATTGGGGTCTTCATGACCCAAACACTTACCATTAAGCCCCATCTCCCAACACTTCTGCATTAGGGATTAAGTTTCCAACACACGCTTTTTACACATTCAAACCATGGCAGCTACTCTTGAAATAAACTGTCTGACATCCAAAAGTTAAAAAATAAAATAAAATCACCAAATTATCCCACAAAACAACCAAGACTTTTTATTCTTGGCTCTTTGGAGTTTTCTGTTCCTTATTTCCTTGGAATTTGATAGATGCAGATAATTTTTCCCTTATTTAATCTTTGAACACAGAACGAGCACTAGAAATTTTCTCCACCAGTATCCTATTACCTTTGAAAACAAACATTAATGAAATTGTCACTGGTGAGAAAACAAATTGAATTATTTCAGTCAAATATATTTTTAGAGGCTTGAAATAAATACTTGAACAGTAGAGATCAAGAAAGACCCTCCCTGTGTTTTTAATAATATTGAGGCTTGTAGTTTTTAATCACAACCTAGGACTTCTAGAAATTGCCTCGCTAGTCTGAGATTGCTTCACCAATCACTACTTCTAAGCTATGGGCATGAAATAAAAGGGAATCTCCTACCCTGAAAGGGAAAGTCAATGTTCTTCATGCCATAGTTGCTATAACTTCTTTTTTCAGTATCTGGGGAAACCCAAAGAGAAGTAATTATTTGTGAAAGGTGGTGGTGGCTTTTGCTACAGGAACAAGGTTCATGGAGGGAACAGGGCTAGCTACTTGGTTTCTTCCTATATATGACATAATCTTCTTTGTAAGCAATGTTTTCTATCGTGCGGGAGCTCCCACCTTCACCTATGCGAAGAGGAAAAGGATATTTATTGACTAGCATCATATTGTGATCAGAACTATTTTAAGATTCATATAGGATTTTTGACAGTTTAGAATGTGAAGTCCCATTTAGGGAGAATATAATAGAGGGGATGTAGTCCTGAAAGCATGAAAGGGAAGGAGAAACATACACATTTATAAGATAATCTGTCATGTGAGCGTAACTACAAATGGCAAATGCTAAGAACCTTCATATTCATGGACTTATTTCTATAAAACAGCATGAGTGCTGAACTTATAAAGCCAACTTGAGGACAAGTATCGGATAACTCACAAATTTTATGCCATACCATTACATTTGTCACTCAGTTTGCAGGAACAATTTGGTTATTGTTGGTGGCTGGAATGTGTGACCTCTGTCCCTTGTGCTGGTGGCTCTGTAGCTCCTGCAACATTCACAGCTTCAACCAAATATCCTCCTGAGAAGTCCTTGATAGAAGAGGGAAAGAAGTGTTAACAGGAAAAACTTAGCAAGCAAGCTGTGGCCTTAATCAGACGATGATATGGATGGTGATTAAAAACCTTTTGGAGCTTTTTTTCACGTGTTCTAATGAGATTTGAACTAATAAATAGGCTATTTTTTAAAAGCTTAACATTAAACAGTCTGGTTTAAAAAAAAAATTGCTGACCAGATGCTATGTCTCACACTATAATCCCAGCACTTCGGGAGGCTGAGGTGAGAGTATTATTTGAGACCAGGAGTTAAAGACCAGGCTGGGCAACATAGCTAGACCCTGTATCTACAAAAAAAATTTTTTAATTGAGGCCGGGCATGGTGGTTCACGCCTGTAATCCCAGGACTTTGGGAGGCCAAGGCAGGAGGATTGCTTGAGTTCAGGAGTTCAAGACCAGCCTGGGCAACATAGCAAGACCTCATCTCTACTAAGAAAAACTAGCTGGGTATGGTGGTGTGTTTCTATAGTCCCACCTACTCAGAAGGCTGAGGCAGAAGGATGACTTGAACCCAGAAGTTAAAGACTGCAGTGAGTCCTGTAGCCTGGGTGATAGAGTGAGACCCTCTCTCAGATATAATCATAATTGCTAAATATTACTGTCTTCTAACACCTTGTTTTAGACTTGCCCTCTAAGATACATCAATGAGAAATTCTTGTGTTTAAGAACTTACAAAGTTAAGAAATTAAGCTCCTGGTATATCAAAGGTCCTTAGTAATTTGTTGTGAATTTATTGAACTAATTTACTTAGTGCAGTAGTACAAAATTATTAATTTACATAAATATCAATAAAATATGTATAAGCCATGAATGGGAAATATATTTTTCAAAATGTAGGAATATGATTTTTTATACAAGCATAAACCTCAGTGTTTTAGTAAATAATTTTTCTCATGCAGGAAGTACTGTGTTGTCTAGAAATTACTTAGAATTTTTGTCTAGGGCTACCTTTAAAATTGATCTGTTTCCAGCCGGGTGCGGTGGCTCACACCTGTAATCCCAGCACTTTGGGAGGCTGAGGCGGGCGGATCACGAGGTCAGGAGATCGAGACCATCCTGGCTAACACAGTGAAACCCTGTCTCTACTAAAAATACAAAAAAAAAATTAGCCGGACGTGGTGGCGGGTGCCTGTAGTCCCAGCTACCCGGGAGGCTGAGGCAGGAGAATGGCGTGAACCCGGGAGGCAGAGCTTACAATGAGCCAAGGTCACACTATTACACTCCAGCCTGGGCAACAGAGTGAGACTCTGTCTCAAAAAAAAACCTGATCAGTTTCCCCTATTTCTTTTCTTTACTGATATATGTTCTCGTTCCTTGCAGTTCAACAACATGTTGCTGTACTGTGTGCCCAAATTCAGCTTGGTAGGCTCTAAATTCACAGTTCGAACCAGGGTTGGCATTGATGGAATGAAAATTGTAGAGACTCAAAATGAAGAATATCCACATACTTTCCAGGTGTCTGGGAAAGAGAGAACACTGGAACTGCAGGCCAGGTAAGGGAACCATTTCTATCACACTGCTTTCCAAAATCAGGCAACAGAATGAATCATTAAAATAGAATGGCTCTGAGGGTTTTTCTCAAGTGAATGCTGCATATCTCTGGAACTCTGGTTGGATGTAAATGCAGAGCTGTAGGTTCTTGAAAAGCAGGAGTCATGTCTCCCCTCTCTTGATTCCTCCATAGTGCCTAGGACAGTGGTTTGTAGACAATAAGCATTCAGTAAATTGATTAACTCTTCAGAAATACAGGGTACTCAGAGGATGAAATTATTGCCATCAAGTCTTGACTTACAGTAAAAGGTTCTCTCCTAATCCTATGTTCACTCCTCCTTTTGGTCCACAAATGTTTATTGATGCTTATTATTCCATGCTAATCTCTGAGTCTTTCAGATACTCTACATTTTAGGGCCTTAGGGGCAATCAAATGAAAAGAAATGTTCATAAGAGGCAAGGTGGTAAGGGTAAAACTACCGCCACCATAGTTGCAGGATACATGAAGGGAGCCATTAGGGGCTCAGGTGGCCTCTGGCAACCAGGACTTCTAGAAGGTATGGCTCTTCTTATATTTTTATTTATTGATTGGGAGAGAAAGGTTTGGAGTTCTGGCTAACATTCCCCTAGCCATAACCATTTTTTTTCTTTCTTTTTTTTTTTTTTTTTTTTTTTGAGATGGAGTTTCGCTCTCATTGGCCAGACTGGAGGGCAATGGTGCAGTCTCGGCTCACTGCAGCCTCTGCCTCCCAGGTTCAAGCTATTCTCCTGGCTCAGCCTCCTGAGTAGCTGGGATTACAGGCGCCTGCCACCACACCTGGCTAATTTTTTTTTTTTTTTTTTTTTTGAGACGGAGTCTCGCTCTGTCTCCCAGGCTGGAGTGCAGTGCCCTGATCTCGGCTCACTGCAAGCTCCGCCTCCCGGGTTCACGCCATTCTCCTACCTCAGCCTCCCGAGCTAATTTTTGTATTTTTAATAGAGACAGGGTTTCACCATGTTGACCAGGCTGGTCTCGAACTCCTGACCTCAGGTGATCTGCCCGCCTCAGCCTCTCAAAGTGCTGGGATTACAGGCATGAGCCACCACACCCGGCCCATAACCATTTTTAAAGGATAAAAATCCATGAGAACGACTGCAGTTGATCATAGCTACCTCACGCATGAACCCCTGGAATACAGAGTGCTGTCAGGTTTTGAAATACCTGCTTTAGAAAACAGTCATCCAAGCTGGGCTTGGTGGCTCACACCTGTAATCCCAACACTTTGGGAGGCTGAGGTAGGAGGATCACTTGAGATTAGGAGTTCTAGACCAGCCTGGCCAACATGGCAAAACCCCCGTCTTTGCTAAAACTACAAAAATTAGCCAGGCATGATCCTGTTCCTGCACTCCAGCCTGGGCAACAGAGCGAGACTCTGTCTCAAAAAATAATAACAATAATAATAATAAGTCATCCATTTATTGTTCTAATGCATGGCCTGGTAAAAATTTGGATGCTTCAGGAGGTCACAGAGCAGAGGGTGAAGAACCAATCCTAGCTGTAGTGGTGTCAATATCCCAGAATCCACGGAGACTCAGAATGTTTTTCTGCTCCTTTCCATCATTAGCTTATGTTTCTGGCTGCTCAGGTGAATTTACCCTGGATATTCATACTTAGTAACTGCCTAAAAGCTGAAATTTCAGATTTTAAAAAGAGAAATCATTTTAACAGGAATCTGTGCCCAGGGAGTCCAAGAATTGGTGAATTTACAGTTTTGGAATGTGGGCAGGCTGGGAAAGTTTGAAGAAACAGCCAGTTATTTGCTTTTCCACAGAGAATATATACTGAACTTCCTTTTCCTTAGGGAGCAGGTAGCATTTGAAACTTGCCTTTGAGTGTCATTGTTTCCCTACCTCATGGTGGGTTTGGGCCCTAGCCCCTCAAACCCAAGGGCAGAATATATGATGCTCTGCTGAAGGCTCTTGACTGAGTCCTCACTCAGTGGTTGATTTACTGAGCTACTGGCCCTGGCAACAGGGAACACTTTTTTTTTTTTTTTGGAGACAGAGTCTCACTCTGTTGCCCAGGCTGGAGTGCAATGGCATGATCTTGGCCCACTGCAACCTCCATACCCTGGGTTCAAGCGATTTTTGTGCCTCAGCCTCCCGAGTAGCTGGGACTATAGGTGCCTGCCACCAAGCCCGACTAACTTTTGTATTTTTAGTGTAGATGGGGTTTCGCCATTTTGGCCAGGCTAGTCTTGAACTGACCTCAGGTGATCCACCCGCCTTGGCCTTCCAAAGTGCTGGGATTACAGGCATGAGCCACTGCGTCCAGCCTCATCAGTAGTTCTGATCATCATAGTTTTCATTGCAGAAAGAATGAAGGCGTTGCTAACTCTGAAACTTCAGCACACTTCCATCTGCAAACCCAAGACACGTGTCTAACTACAGGGTAGATATTTCTCAGGTTTCTTAGTTTGCCTGAATGGATACTTTCAGTCCTCCTTTAGCCAGTTGGGCTATTTTCTCATCAAGATGGGGCTAATTGGTGAGGAATTTTCTTAAGTACAGGCAATCATCACTTTATAACATATCCAACACGGTACTGGATACCTCCCAATTCTTGTTGGAAATATGGTTATTCTGTCTAAAATTTCTTATTTACCTAATCTTATTGCTCTAGTTATATTTATGCTTATATGGTGATATTGAAGATCTGAATTAAGTGATTACTTTTGGTATGATCTATCATGCTCTTTTTTGAGGCAGAGTTTTGCTCTTGTTACCCAGGCTGGAGTGCAATAGCACGATCTTGGCTCACTGCAACCTCCTCCTCCCAGGTTCAAGCAATTCTCCTGCCTCAGCTTCCCAGAGTAGCTGGGATTATGGGCACATGCTGCCACACCCAGCTAATTTTTTATTTTTAATAGAGACGGGGTTTCACCATGTTGTCCAGGCTGGTCTCAAACTCCTGACCTCAGGTGATCCACCCACCTCGGCCTCCCAAAGTGCTGGGATTACAGGCCTAAGCCACTGCACCCAGCCTATCATGCTCTTTTAAGAATGGGACAAACTGAAGTTCCAAGAAAGTCAGAGTGCCATAGGAATTATGTGGAATCAAAAAGTGGGTATATATTTGGAGATATTGAAAGATTTTTTATATTTTTGATTCTGAAGCTAACTGGGAAAAAAGGATCCCACTTTTCTTGCTAAAGTATGAGTCAGCCTCAAGACTGAAGTACATTTGTGCTTCTTCTACTTTCAAAAAGATAAAAAGTATTCTGTTTTATATACAGAATACTATTATGGTTGTCTATTGCTAAGTGGAAATAAAAATATAAAGGGGAAAAAAATCTACCATAACTAAAAACTAAAACAAAAAGCTATAAAGACTTGTTGGGTTTCTCTGCATTTGAAAAGCTAAAAGCAGCTAGCAGATAACTGTGCTTCCAGGGCAACAGAAATGTGGTGGCAAGGCAGAGCAATAAGGAGAGTTTTTTAATTTAAAAAAAATTTTTTTTTTATTTTGAGAAGCAAGATTGAAGCCCCCAGGTGAACAATAAGCAGAAGCTTCCACTTGGCAGACACAGATTCCAGCAGCATTCCTGGCACATCATGGTGTTCAATAATCAATTTGCTGGAAAGATAGATCGTGACACACAAACAATCCTTCAGCCAGTCTCATGCATGTTTCATACCTGTAGGAATCAGGCAGGTGACCTTCAGGCTGGAACTCAACTTAGCCCCTCTACCAAGCACATACAAACAGACAGAGCACACTCTGATCCTCTTCAGAATTTTTCAATTTGGAGCTCTTACCCAGTTCAGAGTCCACTAAAGAGGATTTTTCAAATGTGGTATGTGACAGAAGCCAGCAACGTAACCTACCTGCAAGAAAGAGGAAATAAAGTTTGCCTTATAGGAAAAAGGAAACCTGACTACAGTCAAAGAAATTTGTTTTCTAAGGATGATTACTAAACACTGGGGTCTATTAATCTGTAAAACCTCCTTCCTACAGGCATTTAAAATTTTTATATGCTTTTCTTTATCTAAAATGGGGTTAGGTTTGGTATTGCCTAAAGCCTTCTAAGAACTGGAAAATAAATTGTTTATCAAAGGAAATGTTAAATAGCTCCCTAAGGCTTTAGGGAGATATTTTAGATTCTCAAAGATAATTATTATCTCTTCTAAGATGGGCTGTGAATAGTAGCCTTTAGTAGCCTTCATGTGTTTTAGAAAACTGGAAGATTAGCTGTTGTATATTCAGTGTAATGCTATAGATACAGTTACCTGATATATCTAACTGAATGATGGTTATTAAACAGTATATAAATGGAAGCTAAACCTAACTAACCCCATCAAATTTTATGTGTACCAAAGTCAGTGGATAGTCTGAACCTCTACTTAAGAAGAATTTTATTTGTTTAATTGCCAGAGATTAATTTTTGTTATAATTCCTTCCATAACATCCCTGAATTTTCCAGAAAGTTGGAACAACAGGAAAGCATAGTTTTATTCACCCAGTGTGAATCATTAATATTATTTACATTCACTTTAATTTTGTTTTATTTTAGTTCTGCGCAAGACAAAGAAGAATGGATCAAGGTAAGCCTCATTTCTGTTTCCTTTTCTTTCTTTTTTTTTTTGAGGCAGAGTCTCACTCTCACCCAGTCTGGAGTGCAGTGGTGTGATCATGTCTCACTGCAGCCTCTGTCTGGGCTCAAGCAAGCCTTGCATCTCAGCCTCTTGAGTAGCTGGGACTATAGGCGTGCACCACCATGTCTGGTTAATTTTTTTTTTGTATTTCGTAGAGACGAGGTTTTGCCATGCTGCCCAGGCTGATCTCGAACTCCTGAGCTCAAGCGATCTGCCTGCCTCGGTCTCCCAAAGTGCTGGGATTACAGGTGTGAGCCACCACGCCCAGCTTATTTTCACTTTTGTTTTTTAGTAACATCTCTGTGTATACAAATGTGCATATATTGTTGTGTGTGTTTTAATATGTAGTAATCAGAACAGGTTCACTTAATTTTCAAAGTGATTCCTATCATAGATATTTGTTTGATAAAGTATATTCATTGGTTTATATGAGAAACTTTAATGTGTGCTTTGAATTTTACTTATACTTTAGGCCCTTCAAGAAACCATCGATGCTTTTCATCAAAGGCATGAAACCTTCAGAAATGCAATTGCAAAGGATAATGACATTCACTCAGAGGTTTCTGTGAGTTGAATTAAATTCTTAACTTCAACCTCTTTCATATCTTTGCAGGTGTAGAAGATCTGTCTAATCATTTTGTTCTCCAACCTTTTCCCTTTACAATGTCAGAACTGGCTGGTTAGACAGAATCTCATTCTTTCTTAGATGAACACAATAGTGAGTGACTTTTCATTCTACTTGAACTTCTTTGAATTTTTCTTATTCTTTTTTTTTTTTTTTTTTTTAACAGAGTCTTGCTCTGTCACCCAAGCTGGAGTGCAGTGACACAGTCTTGGCTCACTGCAAACTCCGCCTCCCGGGTTCAAGCGATTTTCCTGCCTTAGCCTCCCGAGTAGCTGGGATTATACGTGCATGCCACCATGCCCAGCTAATTTTTGTATTTTTAGTAGAGAGAGGGTTTCACCATGTTGGCCAGACTGGTCTTGAACTACTGACTTCAGGTGATCCGCCTGCCTCAGCTTCCGAAAGTGCTGGGATTATAGTTCAGAACATGGTTTGAGCAATGTAGTTAAAGTTCTTTCAAAAAATAATAATAAAAGGGAATTATAGTTTTTTTCTATTAAAATTGAATCTTTCTTCCCTTTTTAGACTGCTGAGCTAGGGAAAAGAGCCCCAAGATGGATCCGAGATAATGAAGTGACAATGTGTATGAAATGTAAAGAACCTTTCAATGCACTGACACGAAGGAGGCATCATTGTCGAGCATGTGGATATGTAAGTGAGATTTCTTGATCATTAAGGTTGCTAGTAACTATATAAGTGATGTAAAGTCATCAACTAGGGACACACAAAAAAATGACTTTCAACAAATCACTTAATAAATTTATTTTGGTGCCAATTACGTGCAGAGGACTGTGCTGAGCCCTGGAGAAAAAACGTTAGACAAAATGTTCCCTGGCTTTACAGAGCTTACGTTGTAATGGGGAAGACAGACAAATAAGAATTTCAAATTACTATAGATGAAATAAAAAAGCAATTGAGAAGTTAAAAATGGACAGTATTAGTAACAGAGGAAGATTTGGAACCAATTTTGGTTAGAAAAAGAGACCTATCTGAGGGGTTGGTATTTAAGTTGATGCTTAAAAGATTGAGAAAGGGGCTGGGCGCAGTGGCTTACGCCTATAATCCCAGCACTTTGGGAGGCCGAGGCAGGCAGATCACCTGAGGTCAGGAGTTTGAGACCAGCCTGACCAACATGGTGAAATCCCGTCTTTACTAAAAATACAAAATTAGCCAGGCGTGGCGGCGCATGCCTGTAATCCCAGCTACTTGGGAGGCTGAGGCAGGAGAATCACTTGAACCCAGAAGGCGGAGGTTGCAGTGAGCTGAGATCGCACCATTGCACTCCAGCCCGGGCAGCAAGAGTGAAACTCCATCTCAGAAAAAAAAAAAAAAAAAAAGGGGGTTGAGAAAGAGCTAATAATCAATAGAGACAGGGAAAAACTTCAGACAGTGAAAGTCTATATGCAAAGACCCTGAGGTAAGAAGGAACTTGGTCTCTTCATGAGACTGCCAAAGATCATGAGGCTGGAGCATGATGAGTAAGAGGAGGAACGTTAGATAAATAATGGCCAAGGGATATCTATGAGAAACAAGAATAGATGGAACCCACAGTACAAGTAGATGTTCTGGCTTTGATGGGGAGAGGAAAGCTTCCTCCATTATATCAGAGAGGAAGAAGAAAAAGATGTGTATAAATGTGGGTAAGTTGGCGTTTTTGTTGTTCTGGTGGTGAGAAATGAGGGAGTTTAGGTGCAATATCTATTTATTTGGTTTTTTTTGTTTTGTTTTTTGTTTTTGAGACGGAGTTTTGCTCTTGTTGCCCAGGCTGGAGTGCAATGATGCGATCTCGGTTCACCGCAACCTCCGCCTCCCGGGTTCAAGCGATTCTCCTGCCTCAGCCTGCCTAGCAGCTAGAATTACAGGCGTGTGCCACCACACCTGGCTGATTTCTGTATTTTTAGTAGGGATGGGGTTTCTCCATGTTGGTCAGGCTGGTCTTGAACTCCCGACCTCAGGTGATCCGCCCGCCTCGGCCTCCCAAAGTGCTGGGTTACAGGCGTGAGCCACCACGTCCGGCTAAATACATTTTTTTTCTTTTTTTTTTGAGACAGAGTCTCACCCTATCGCCCAGGCTGGAGTGCAATGTTGTGATCTTGGCTCACTGCAACCTCCACCTCCCGGGTTCAAGTGATTCTCCTGCCTCAGCCTCCCAAGTAGCTGGGATTTTGGGCATGCACCACCACGCCTGGCTAATTTTTTGTATCTTTAGTACAGACGGGGTTTCACCATGTTGGCCAGGCTGGTCTCGAACTCCTGACTTTGTGACCTGCCCACCTCGGCCTCCCAAAGTGCTGGGATTACAGGCGTGAGCCACTGCACCTGGCCCCATTTTGATGCAATATCTGTGTGTTCACTGAAGAATGAAGTAGAGTCATCAGTTGAAAGTTAAGGGGAAGGAGGAGGAGATGGGGAGATTCAAGAAAGAGGACTAAGTGTGAAGATTTTCTCTGGGCAGAGAAAAGTGAGCCTAGTAGAGAAACAAAGGTGGACTTGGGCACCTGTTAGAAATTTACAGTTATAAATTTAAAGGGACACTCGTCAGCTTAATGGCAATGATTTTTCTCTAACAAGATATAGCAACTCAGGCCAGCGAAGGCAGATAGCACGGTTTATCCAGAGTAGTATAATGAGAAAAACACTGGAAGAGAAGGGAAGTATTTACATCAGAGAGTTAATAATGAATAAGAGAAGTCTCAATTGGATAAAAAGAGCAGGAAAGCTAGGAAACAGGCTGATGGTTAATGAGAAAGTGGCGGGGTCAGTGGACAGAAGAATTTCGGTAAGTTCAGAGATGTATGGTAGCGGACATCTTGGGGGCAATGAATTAGAAATAAGAGAGATGTTGGTGAAAAAAATGGGATATGTGAACCTGGCATGCCAGATATGGTTCACCCTCTGATGGTGACACAGTCCCGGGGGTGACCATGAGATTGAACAGCTAAGGTAGACTGCACAGCGCTGGCAGCAGAGACATAAGGCGGTAGAGTTGGGCTTGTCATGTAAATGTTGAAGTCCACAGACATTGTGGTAGAGCAGAGAACTATGATCCGTTAGTGAGAAATTCCTGAGTGAATGGGTGTGGGGCAGATGATAAGGAGATGCTAACTCAGTAGGGGAGATGGGTAGAGCCAGATGATGATGGGCCTCAGAGCTGCCAGGGGTTTTTGAAGGCAAGAAAAGAGTCAGGGAATACAAGCCTCAATTCTCAGCCCTGAGGTCTCAGAGGTGACAGAAGGTGAAGTGGGAAAAAAAAAAGCCTCCACTAGAGAAAAGAGCCTGAGGATATGGAAGAGTTTGATTCTAGAGTGAAAGGTCCAAAGGTCCCAGTGGAAGGGCATGGAGGGGAAAGTGGGAGATGGCGACTGAACTAGATTAAATTATGTACAGAGGCCAGGCGCAGTGGCTTACACCTGTAATCCCAGCACTTTGGGAGGCTGAGACGGGTCGATCTCCTGAGGTCGGGAGTTCAAGACCAGCCTGACCAACACGGAGAAATCCCGTCTCTACTAAAAATACAAAATTAGCCGGGCATGGTGGTGCATGCCTGTAATTCCAGCTGAGGCCGGAGAATCACTTGAACCGGGGAGGCGGAGGTTGTGATGAGCCGAGATTGCGCCATTGCACTCCAGCCTGGGCGACAGAGCAAGACCGTCTAAAAAAAAAATTATGTAAAGAGCAATATGTTTGGGGATGAGGCTGAGAAAATAACCAGAGAGCTGGGCCTTTTCCTGGGATCTGAGATAAACAGGAAAGTGGGGCATGACATGAAGTGAATTCTACTGGTGTTTGAGATAAGGGTAGGCACCCAGACCTATTGCTGTGATCCCAAATGTTTCCTTGGTGGCATGGCAGCCTAAAGAATGGTGCTTCCTGAGTATCTAAAGAACCATGCTTCACCCTGAAGATACACATGTTATATATTGGTGGACACAAGCTGCTTGGTATTGGAGTAAGCACTGTAAGACAGGACTGGCAGAAAACTGAGGCTGGAATGGTGTAGGTAGGAATCAGGTCATTGAGAGCCAGAGATGCCATGGTAAGATGCTTAGATTTGATCACACCTTAAAGGGAATTGGTTCAATGAAGAAAGAGTTGAGGAAGACAGGGAGTAAGTAGTCAGGAATGACTTTAATGTTAAGATTTGGGTGACTGGGTAAATGGTAGTGTGCTGTTAATTGACATAAGAAATAGAAAAATGAAGCAAGTTGAAATGAAGGGGAGAGGAGCAGAAATAAAAATAACAGCAGTTACCATTTATGATGTACCAGTGCCAGGCATTGTTTGAAGTGTGTTGTGTATACTGTTGCTTATAGTTTCTCAATTACCCTGTGAGGAAGGTTCTATTTTCTCCATTATATAATTCAGAAATGGACTCATAGAAAAGTTATGATATGTTATTTCTGTTATTTGTTTTTCTTTTTTCTTACTGTCTCCCTGTGGGATTCAATTCAGATATATATAACATCATCTCATTCCATCTTCCATGTCTCTCCTGTTTTTATCTCTGTGTCTCTCTCTATAGCATTTTATTCATCTCTATCTCCCATTTTGTTCATTTACTGTTCAGTTGTAGCAAATCTGCTGTTTTGTTCATTTTTAATTTTTAATTATTTCCAAAAGTTTTTCCTTCCAAATCTGCCTGATCATTTTTGATAGTGTTTGTTGTTTGCCACTTTATGTTTTCAAACATTTCTTATGTAATTTTCAAATTTGTATCTAATAATGTCAGTAGCTGAAGACATTTCAAAGATTCCAAATCTGTTGTTTCTACTAAATTCTAGTTCCTGGAGCCTTGCTTTCTGCTGTAATTGGTCTCTTCTCATTGTGAGCTCTTATTTGGTTGATAGTTCATTATCTTCCTTTCATAAGTTTTGGCGTAATGACCGAGTCTCAGGTCAGCTCTCCCGTGTCCTCCAGGCCCCATGGGCTGTCTCCTAATCCCAGCACTGTCCATCCCAAGCTTTGTTTGCTCTATTCATTCACCATTACAATTTCAGCTTACTGTGTGTGTGTTATTTTGTTTGTTCATTGGGTTTGGGGGCCTTGGAAAATTCTCTTACTTTAACGTAAAGAAGCAAAGCATTACAATTATTTGCTGTATTTTTGTCCAGGATCCAGTCGTATTATAGCAAAATTCTTCTCAGAGTATCTACCTAGACTGTCATACTGACAGCAGCAAGAGTCAAAAACATATTTAATCGTGGTTATGTATTTCGTTATGACTGTTTACATAGTCTTTCTATATCTTAATGCTATATAAACTTCAGCTGGGCATGGTAGCTCACACCTATAATCCCAGCACTTTCGGAGGGAGGTTGAGGCAGGAGGATTGCTTGAGGCCAGGAATTTGAGACAAGCCTGGGCAACATGGTGAAACTCTGTCTCTACCAAAAATATAAAAATTGGCTGGGTGCAGTGGCTCATGCCTGTAATCCCAGCACTTTAGGAGGCCGAGGCAGGTGGATCACAAGGTCAGGAGATCATGACCATCCTGCACATGCACATGGTGAAACCCCGTCTCTACTAAAAATACAAAAATTAGCTGGGTGTGGTGGCATGTGCTTGTAATCCCAGATACTCGGGAGGCTGAGGCAGGAGAATGGCTTGAACCTAGGAGGTGGAGATTGCAGTGAGCCGAGATCGCGCCACTGCACTCCAGCCTGGCAACAGAGTGAGACTATGTCAAAAAAAAAAAAAAAATTAGCCTGGTGTGGTGGCACACACCCGTAGTCCCAGCTACTCAGGAGGCTGAGGTGGGAGGACGGCTTGAGCTCAGGAGGTCAAGGCTGCTGTGAGCCGAGATCACACCACTGCACTCCAGCCTGGGTGACAGACCCCAGGTCTTGACCCCATCTCAAAAAAATAAAAAAAAAATTATATAAACTTCTATAAAAACATAATTTTTCTGGTTTTTGTGTTTCTTTGATACTTCATAAATTCCCCTGTTGTTTATGCAGTTTCAAGTTCCTTATCCAAAAATATGTTTCTGATTGTAAGTTAATAACTATATTGCTAATATTTAAATGTATTGATGCTACATATAAACATAGTTTGATCATGATTTGGTCAGCCATTGAGCTGAGTTTCATATGGAAAGTGAGGAACAAACTATGGAATGAAGCTGGAGAGAGGCAGTGGCAGTTTTTGGAGGGCCTTGTAAACCAAGTTAAAGATCATAGCCTTTCTCCTAAAAGGAATGGGAGACACAGAAAACAGTAGGTGTTCCCAGTGTCATGAGTGAATATATTATTTGTGTGCTTAAGTGCAACAATTCATATTGATAGTTGTTTTAGCTTATTCTTCCTATTTTCCTCAGACTTATTTTTGACTCACTACAGTACTTTTGTGATTAAAATTAAATTGAGAGCAAACAGCTTTTTTTTTTTTTTTTTTTGAGGCGGAGTCTCGCTCTGTCACCCGGGCTGGAGTGCACTGGCGCGATCTTGGCTCACTGCAACCTCCACCTGCTGGGTTCAAGCAATTCTTCTGCCTCAGCCTTCCAAGTAGCTGGGACTACAGGCGGGCTTCACCATGCCCGGCTAATTTTTTGTATTTTTAGTAGAGACGGGGTTTCACCATGCTGGCCAGGCTGGTCTTGAACTCCTGACCTCGTGATCTGCCTGCTTTGGCCTCCCAAAGTGCTGTGATTGCAAGCATGAGCCACCATGTCTGGCCCAAACAGCTTTTTTATCAGGGTAAGACTTTTAAAAATCTGTCACTGAGTTTGATTGAAATGATTTTTGATATTGGCATACTTGCCTTCAGTAAGCAAAGAAAAAATGTGTTTGCATGTGCATTGTCAAAATACTGTGCTATGATTTGAAAATAAACAAAATGGATGGTAATGAGTTTGCGGTTACAGGTATGTCTAATTCTAAATCCCAGAGTAATTTCATTGTAATTATGAGCAAACAGTAGACCATTTTTATCATGAATTTTAAATGCTATAAATCTACACCAAAAATTTGACTAATATATTTTCTTTAATATAATTTATCTACTATAAACTGAGGGGGAAATACACTTCTATAAGCAAGAAGATAATGTGTTAAACTAGAAGATTTTAAACAATTATTCTATAATAGAGAAAAGTTATCACTAAGAAGTAATACACATTTGCATCATATTCATTCATTCAAAGACAGTCTCTCCTGGAGCTTACAGCCCTATAAGGGAGATAAACAATCAAATAATAATACAGGAATAAAATTAAAAGCTGTAGTCAGTGCTATGAAAGAAAACACAGAGAACACTGACAGTAGACACTCTGTGTCCTGGGGTTTGGAGGAGTCCTCCTTGAGGAACTGGAGTTTGAGCCAACATCTGAAGGGTGAGCGTTAAGTTAACTCAGTGAAGGAGAGAGGAGAGAGGCAGGGAGCATGGCCTTTGGGAACTATAAGAAGCCAGTGTCACTGAAGACAGAGTCCAGAAAGAGGGCAAATTATGCAGGACTTTGGAGGCCATGATTAAGAGTTGGTTCTTTAGCCAAGAGCAAAGGAAAGTCTGAAAGATTTTAAATAGAAGAGGAATAAATCAGAGTAGCTTTATTTTTATTTTTATTTTTATTTATTTATTTATTTATTTATTTTTTTTTTTTGAGACAGGGTCTTGCTTTGTCACCCAGGCTGGAGTGCACTAGCACTCCATCTAGGCTGGTCTGGAACTCCTGGACTCAAGCATCTGCCCTTCTCGGCCTCCCAAAGTGCTGAGATTATAGGTGTGAGCCACCACACCCAGTCAGATTAGCATTTTTAAGAGGGTGTCACTCCACTGTTTGGAAGATACAGCTTGGAGGAGGTTTAAGAGTGGAGGCCTGTAAACCAGTAAGAATGCTACAAGGACCAGTCACAAGCCTAGAAAAGAAGCCAAACTAAAACGCCATGGACTTGGGTGCTTATAAGGAAGTTGTGGAAAAATAGATTTAAGAAATATTTAGGAAGTAAAATCAGCGGGACTTTGTAAAATGGAAAATCTTTGGGTAAGATCGAAAGAGGTTCTGGGGATGACTCCTATGTGTCTGACACAGGACCAGTTGTATGACTGCCCCATTTCCTGCAATAGAGAGGACTGTGAGAGGGGACCGGGTTGGGAGGAGGGGGTGGGATGGGCTAAGAGAGACCAGGGAAGTTCGTGAGCAGTTTGGAAAGGATGTTGATGAACATCCAGAAGTATGAAGAGTCAAAGTCTTTGAAGGTCTTCTACCTTTAGAGGCCAGGAAAAGGATGAGTGAGCAGAGCTGGTCACAAACAGGGTTGAAACACCTTGATATGTACTTCTAGTGTTTATAGGGATGTTCCTTTTCTAACAAAAATCTGCCTTCTATGCTTAACATTTTCTCATTTATTATTACCTATAACTGATTACTGCTTAAATCATATCCTTTAAATATGATTACTGTTCATTTTTCTTTTAAATTTAAGGTGGTTTGTTGGAAATGCTCCGACTACAAAGCTCAACTTGAATATGATGGTGGTAAATTGAGCAAAGTTTGTAAAGACTGTTATCAAATCATAAGTGGATTCACAGACAGTGAAGAAAAGAAAAGAAAAGGAATTTTAGAGGTAAGAAATATTAAATATTGGATATCTTTTAGATTATTTTTTTCCCAACGGACTCTCGCTCTGTCACCCAGGCTGAGGTGCAGTGGCACGATCTCAGCTCACTGCAACCTCAGCCTCCCAAGTTGCTGGAATTACAGGCCCACGCCACCATGCCCGGCTAATTTTTGTATTTTTAGTAGGGATGGGGTTTCCCCATGTTGGCCAGCTGGTCTCAAACTCCTGACCTCAGGTGATCTGCCCACCTCGGCCTCCCAAAGTGCTGGGATTACAGGCATGAGCCAACGCACCCCAGCCTAGATTTTTACAGAAGAAATAAAATCCTCTTAGCTATGAGGAATACAAATAATATATCTTTGTTATTTCTTTGAGTGTTTAACAATTTGTATAATGAGCAAGATTTATGCTTTTGTTCTATTTTGCTGACTTTTGGGATTCTGCTTGGTTGCATAGAAAAGGGGGGCTGCTGGTTAAATCAACATGCATTTAAGAATGAAATACATTGATTTCGTGGCAGTAGCTAGAGCCAAATATTTCAGTATTAATTGGCATCTCTTCTTATACCCAAATTATTGTAGTATGTTTTCTATAAAGGAAAGCTTTTACTCTCAATTTCGTCATATTGGCTTTACAAACCACTTTAGATAAAAGTGCTATTACCTGACAGACTCTTCCAACTTTTTATAGTAAAATATCTAGTTTACTATAGTCATTTAATTGCCAGTGATGGTAATCTGATAACTACATTAAATATTATTGAAATGTCTCCCAAGTTAATTTGACTAATGTTCTGGAAAAAATTCAGACCCCCCCACCCCAAGCCTGAGAACTATAACGCAGCTTATCTGAAATGAGTTTTACATCTAGAGATATTAACAATATAAGGGACAGGTTATATAATAAGGCCTTTGTGGCAGTAGGTTCAAGGTAGCCTGGAAAGTCTATAGAAGAATAGGCTCAGGATCAAAATGCTATGTATCTAAAATCATAGACATACTTGGTTTATTAAGAATCTCTAAAGAGGCTGGGTGCAGTGGCTCATGCCTGTAATCCCAGCACTTTGGGAAGTTGAGGCAGTTGGATCACGAGGTCAAGAGATCAAGACCATCCTGGCCAAATGGTGAAACCCCATCTCAGCTAAAAATACAAAAATTAGCTGGGTGTGGTGGCACACACCTGTAGTCCGAGCTACTTGGGAGGCTGAGGCAGGAGAATCGCTTGAACCCGGGAGGCGGAGATTGCAGTGAGCCAAGATTGCGCCACTGCACTCCAGCCTGGTGACAGAGCTAGACTCTGTCTCAAAAAAAAAAGAATCTCTAAAGAATCAGTAAGTATTTATTGAGCATTTACATTGTGTAAGCGTACAAGTATACCTGTACACTTACAAGTGTACAAAGGTCACTTCTGTTCATTGATAAAGGGTTACAAACTTCAAGGTCCATTTGAGGCTAAGTGTAGCCCCACACACTAAAATCATTCTTCCAGGGTATAGATGTTACTCGTATGGCCTACCAAACTGGGGCTTTCTCAGGCAGTAAGGATGGAAAGACATGCTTCATTGGACATCAGGAACAGAGCCTCAAGACTTAATAGCGACAACTGATGAGACTGGCACAATATAATGAGTCGGGGAACTTGGTTTTAGGGTCAGCTTCAGGCCGTATCTCTGAAAAATCCCTAGCTAGTATTTTAGAGAACCTTATACTGAGGAAAAATTAATGAATTACTTATTAGGTCAACTCATATAATGAAATAAATATATAGTATGAAGTCCATACATAGGAGACAAGTATGTACATGGACACATTAACTTAAATGCATATTCGAGACTGATTTTGTACCAACTAGTATGTTATATGCCCTAGAACAGTGATCAACACACTTTCCTGTAAAGAGTCAGAGAGAAAATATTTTAGTCTTTGCAGACCAAGAGGCCAAACCAAGGATATTACATACATATTTGTAAAAAGAGAGAAAACAAATTTCCACAATTTTTTTTTACAAAATTAAAATTATATTTATTTAGGCTTTTTAATAATATGGATCAGCTGGGCGCAGTGGCTCATGCCTGTAATCCCAGCACTTTGGGAGGCTGAGGCGGGCGGATCACAAGGTCAGGAGTTCGAGACCAGCCTGGTCAACATGGTGAAACCCCGTCTTTACTAAAAGTACAAAAATTAGCCCGCGTAGTGGTGTGCCCCTGTAATCCCAGCTACTCGGGAGGCTGAGGCAGGAGAATCACTTGAACCTGGGAGATGGAGGTTGCAGTGAGCTGAGATCGTGCCATTGTACTCCAGCCTGGGTGACAGGGCGAGACTCTGTCTCTAATAATAATAATAATAATAATAATAATAATAAGGATCTACTAATAAGAATGGAATTCTTTGGGGGAGGATAACCATTCACTTAATTGGAATCTGAAGTTAGCGTTCCCTATCATCAAATTAATTGTAAGTGGTCGCGTAAAAAAACACCCTGGCTCATGGGCCATACAAAAACAACTGGTAGGCTGGATTTGGCTTGTGAGTTATCGTCTGCTAACCAGTGCTGCTTTAAAAATTGTCTGTGGCCAGGTGCGGTGTGGCTCACGCCTATAATCCTAGCACCAAGGCTGAGGTGGGTGGATCACCCGAGGACAGGAGTTCGAGACCAGCCTGACGAACATGGTGAAACCCCATTCTACTAAAAATACAAAAATTAGCCGGGCCTGGTGGCGTGTGCCTGTAATCCCAGCTACTTGGGAGGCTGAGGCAGGATAATCGCTTGAACCTGGGCGGCGGAGGTGTCAGTGAGCCAAGATTGAACCATTGCACTCCAGCCTGGGCAACAAGAGCTAAACTCCGTCTCAAAAAAAAAAAAAAATTGTCTATGCTGAAGCATCAGTTTTTTTTTCCTGAACTATCACAGATCAGTGTTTTTGTAAAATACACTGTAATGCACTTGGTTATCATCACAAATTCAAATTGTTATAAAAGTTTAATACTTACTCCTACTTTGTGTGCTTACCAGAAACTGGTAACATAAACCATTTGCAGACCTGGAGACCAACATGAATAACACTGAGTAGCACTACCTGAAGGGTTTTGGAGACAGAAAATAGAAGCAAACCAGTTAGTTTCCATAAGGCATATAATAAAAACTACCATTTAGTTAAATGGTTTTGTTCCTTTTTTCAGTATTTTTTTTCTTTTTTTTTTTTTTTTAGACAGAGTCTTGCTCTGTCACCCAGGCTGGAGTGCAGTGGTGCGATCTCAGCTCACTGCAATCTCTGCCTCCCCGGTCCAAGCAATTCTTATGTCTCAGCCTCCTGAGTAGCTGGGATTACAAGCATGTGCCACCACACCTGGCTAATTTTTTTCTTCTTTTTTTTTTTTTTTTTTTTAGTAGAGGCAGGGTTTCACTGTGTTGGCCAGGCTTGTCTCAAACTCCTGGCCTCAAGTGATCTACCTGCCTCTGCCTCCCAAAGTGCGGGGATTACACGTGTGAGCCACCGCACCCAGCCTTTTAGCCAACAATTTTTATATTAGGAGGCAAAATAGAAAAATTAAATGGCTCTATGTATTAGTCTGTACTCACACTGCTATAAAGACATACCCAAGACTGGGTTATTTATAAATAAAGGAGGCTTGGCCGGGCATGGTGGCTCACGCCTGTAATCCCAGCACTTTGGGAGGCCAAGGCAGGCAGATCACGAGGTCAGGAGATCGAGACCATCCTGGCTAACACAGTTAAACCCCATCTCTACTAAAAGTACAAAAAATTAGCCAAGCGTGGTGGTGAGTGCCTGTAGTCCCAGTTACTCAGGAGGCTGAGGCAGGAGAATGGTGAGAACCTGGGAGGTGGAGCTTGCAGTGAGCTGAGATCGTGCCATTGCACTCCAGCCTGGGTGACAGAGCAAGACTCCATCTCTATGAATAAATAAATAAATAAATAAATAATAAATAAGGCTTAATTGACTCACAGTTCCGCATGGCTGGGGAGGCCTCAGAAAACGTACAATCATGGCAGAAGGGGAAGAGGCACATCTTACATGGTGGCAAGCGAGAGTGAGCAAGTGTATGAAGGAAGAACTGTCAGACACTTACAAAACCATCAGATCTCATGAGAACTCACGATCACGAGAACAGCATGGGGGACACTGCCCCCATGATCCAGTTACCTCCTATCAGGTCTCTCCCTCGACACATGGGGATCGTGGGGATTACAATTGAAGATGAGATTTGGGTGGGGACACAAGGCCTAACCATATCACTCTACAAAAATTGATTGCACTGAAAAAATCTTTAATTAGGTGTACTCAAACAAAGATTGCTGGTTACTATTTGCCTTTTTGCTTTTATATTCTTTCTTAATTGAAGTAGGTATCGCATTGTCGTTAAAAGTTCAGGCTCTGTTCTGGGCACAGTGACTCACCCCTGTAATCCCAGCACTTTGGGAGGCCAAGGTGGGAGGATTGCTTGAGGCCAGGAGTTCAAGACCAGTGTGGGCAATGTAGTGAGACCCTGTTTCTACAAAAAATTTAAAAATTCTCTCCCAGCTACTTGAGAGGCTGAGGCAGAGGATCGAAGTTCAGACTCTGGATTCAGACTCTCTGGGTTCAAATCCCAGCATGCCAATGTGTGATCTTGGGAAAGCTATTTAAACTCTGAGCCTCAGAAAAAATGAAAATACTACCTTCTCAGTGTTGGTGTGAGGATTAAATGAAATAAGACATGTATTGAGCTAAGGAAAGTGCCTACATAGTAAGCAATCAATAAACACTTAACTCTTTAAATTCAAGGTCTAGTTACGTAAAGAGCTAAAATTGGCTTAAATATTTTCCATGTTAAAATGTTTAAACAATAATTGCAAATGAATCTTTTTTGGATAGTCCAGGGAAACATTTTGTATAAACACATTGTACTTTGTGAATATTTCTCTATCTGATTTGTTGTGTGTTCATTCTGTCTTTCCATTATATTTTTCTAGATTGAATCAGCAGAAGTATCTGGAAACAGTGTGGTGTGCAGCTTTCTTCAGTATATGGAGAAGTCAAAACCTTGGCAGAAAGCTTGGTGTGTGATCCCCAAGCAAGACCCTCTTGTGCTGTACATGTATGGTGCCCCCCAGGTATCTAAACCACATCTGTCTGAAGGGACAGATGCCCTTGGGGGCAAGGGGAAGCGAGTGGACAGCGGACTCAAAATCTGTAGAACAAGAGTTCAGGCAGTTTCACTGTTTCATTAAAATTGAAAAATAATGAGTAAAGTTCAAGTTTGTTGTTTAAGCTGATTGATTCATTTTATAGCCTATATTTTCTTCAGTTTGTGGATCATCTGTCCCCTTTCTTGTCTCATTCAATGGGTTTGAGAAAAGATGAGTTGAATTAGGAATGAGCATGAGGAGAAGGGGAAGCAAACGGGAGAAACAAGCCTTTTTAATGATAGGAAACATTAAGAAAAGACTTTTTAATTTTGTTTTTTGTTTGTTTGTTTGTTGTGTTGTTGTTTTCTTTGTGACAGAGTTTTGCTCATGTCACCCAGGCTATAGTGCAATGGTGCAATCTTGGCTCACTGCAACCTCCACCTCCTGGGTTCAAGTGATTCATCTGCCTCAGCCTCCCGAGTAGCTGGGATTACATGTACCCACCACCACACCTGGCTAATTTTTATATTTTTAGTAGAGACAGGGTTTCACCATGTTGATCAGGCTGGTCTTGAACTCCTGACCTCAGGTGATCCGCCCACCTCGGCCTCCCAAAGTGCTGGTAATACAGGCGTGAGCCACTGCGCCCAGCCAATTTTGTTTTTTATTTTATTTTTTCTTTTTGCTCAATGGATAGATATCTGAAAAAGGAGTTTGAGAGGAAGGGGAACTTAAAATCAGTCTTGCATTATCATTCAGTAGCAATTTTTTTGAGAACCCCACGTATATGGATCTGAGATAAATCTATGGGAACAATGATATGCAGGTTTAGCTTTTAACAAGAGCAGCACCAGGTCCTATGATTGTGTTGTGCTTGAAGAATCAAATGTACAACACTTAAACCAGTTATGCATTTACTCTGAAATATAAAAATTTTACATATACCTGTTGTATTTCAGTCTATAAATTAAGGGCTGGTAAAATTATTTTATTTTGAAAATAGACTGAAAATGACAGGCTATATAGTTTACTCTCCTTTATTGCTTTTCCTATAAGCTTTCTATGTCCATAAATAAGTTGATGGAATAAGTGAATCACCAGATAAAACTGCCTTTAGTAATGAGATTCTCATTACTGTTTGCTGGTTTAATACAGTATGATGGCGATTTTTCTTCCCCTTTTCACTGAATGAAGAGTTGAAAGGCTCTTTTCACAGAGAGGAGGGTGTAGTGTCTCTGAGTCCTAGCTGATTTGGGTGTCAGCTCTCATTCATTCAGCTAACATTATCAGTGGCCTCACGTACAGGCTCTGTACTAAGCAATGGGATTGCCCTCTGTGCCCATGGAGAACTCACCGTTTAAGTCTGTTTGGGACAGTGGTAGGAAGAGAGGTTTAGTAGGAGCAAGGGACACACTTAACAAGCGAATACATCACCTGCTTTTAATGTCTGATGTCTTTTCTTTAGGACGTCAGAGCCCAGGCCACCATTCCACTTCTGGGCTATGTGGTGGATGAAATGCCAAGGAGCGCAGACCTGCCACACAGTTTCAAACTGACCCAGTCTAAGTCCGTGCACAGCTTTGCTGCAGACAGTGAGGAACTGAAGCAGAAGTGGCTGAAAGTCATCCTTTTAGCTGTCACAGGTGAGACACCAGGTGGTCCAAATGAGCATCCAGCCACCTTGGATGATCATCCTGAACCTAAGAAAAAATCAGAATGCTGAACTCCTCCAGGACCAGCCATGGTGTGGAGGTCTCAGGACTTACAGCTCAAGACATTCCCAGCTCTTCTTACACATCTGCTAGCACTTTATGTTGAAAAATATAGGCCCATAAATGCATCTTTTGAGGACTATTTTCCTATGTTTATGTACTCTTAGTGAAATTAGTGTGCAGAGTCATTCTACCGATAAAGTTTTGAAATAATGTGAAAACTGGAGCATTTTTTGAGCTATTCCTTGAATATGTGCTTTTTTGTCTTGAAGAAATGGTGTATCAATTGATTCTGTCACCGTCAGGTTAGAATGAGCACTTCCATTTAAGAAATCCTTTCATGTCTTCTTCTCTTTCACATGTAGGACCTGGAACAGTTTGAAAGATATACCTCCATGTTGCCAAAATAGATCCATGGTGAAAAATACAGGGACAGTTGAGGCTATTGTATTAACTTATTTAATTTAGTTTATAAATCTCTAGCTGCATAAATGATGTCTGTTCTTTTAAAACAAAAGAAAAAGGACAAATTGTTGGTGTTCAGATTTCCGATTTATAAAGAAAAGATAACTTGTTTTTGTAGAAATACTCCTAAGAATGTCTTAAGTATATAGCAATTATGTATATATAGTATTAAATATATATATTATACATGCTTTTAGGTTCACATTCATCTCTAATTTATTTTTTAAATATAAAGCATGGTTTATCGTGGAATTGAGCAATGTTCTAAACTGAAGAAATGTTTTGGTGATTTATGTTTTGCTGATTGGCATTTGAGGGTATTGATATTTTTATAATAAGCGGTAATTTATGTGGCATGGGATATATTTGTGAATTCCAACAGTACTTTTAAAGTACCATTTTTTGTTTCTGTGCCTATTTAAAACAGTGCCTCTCTTAGAAGGTGCTATTAATATAAGATGAGGGTTCAGTTAATGCTTCAGTCTTGATTATTCTAAGATTAAAGTGCATTTTGGTCACTGGGACAGTCAAAGTCATACAGGTTATTTTACCGTTTACAATCCTATAATTATTGCAGTAGTTAACATCAGCATGTACAAACATTTTCACCAAAACCCAAACTTTATGAGACACCTGACCTTTTACAGAACTAGGATATGTGGAAACCACATTTATCGTAATGTTTTTCTTTTCCGTAAGATAATCGAGCATGGTTAAATAAGGTCTCTATATAATGAACACTTAAGATAACTGTATGGGCCTTTTCCTTTGTCGGAATGAAACAAAATCCACATGTGATAACCTATGTTTGGGGTGGGGGCTGGTCACATGATTCCTTGTCATGAAGGCTGCTCTTCACTCTTTTGTACTTGTGATTAAAATCTCACACTAAGTTTACTATTTAACTTAATCCTTTTTCTCAAATTAAACCTTTTTTTATACTGTCATACCCCAAACATTGTCACTTTTTAATGTACCAGTCTGCTAGAAATCTACAAGAATGATCCCACTATCTTTAGTATGTAAGGATTACACCTTAGATATAGAATAGAATTTGAGACTGCCACACATTTATTCAGGCCTTGTTACTTTAAGAAATATCTTATTTTTTCCACCCCAAAGGAGCAAGTGAACCAATTATTGCTGACATAATAGGTTCCCTTCCTCCATAAAAGGATTATCAGCCATGATCATTAACATTAAACCAAATAGATGGAGCCAAAAAGAGATAAAAGTAGCTTCTTAGGCCCTATTAAATCAGGGAAAGACTAGAAGAAAATTTACATTGCTTCTCTTTTTTAATGGCCAGCGGGGTATGTGTGTGATGTATACTCAGAGTGGTTTTTTGGAAAATTAAACTGTAGCTATAGATGATGCTTTGGTTTTCTTAATCTCAAGAAAAGAGAAGCAATGGAAATACAGAATGATTAACTGGGGAAGAGGACTTTTGTAAGTGTGACTAGAACAATGGTAATGTATGGGCCAATGGGAAGATTTATAAGTCAGATTATTTTTGAAAACTATTTTTAAAAGCAAGAAGACTACACTTTCCCTACCAAAACAGAAGTAACATGGACACACTTAAGTTTTGGCTCAATAAATATCAATGTTATTTAACTTAGATCATTGAAAGAATACTCATGTAAAGATAATGTTTATTATCATGCTCTTAACAGTCATTATCTTTAATTTTTTAAATGAGAAGCATTAATACTAGAAGAGAATTTCTGGTTATCCGGTCACCATATTCACTTTCCACCCCACATTCTTCAGCTAAACGCAAAGAGAAGCAGTGAAACAGCCTTACCCGCTTCTCTCTTATTAAAGAATCACTGATGTTTTTACTCAATGAAAGGTAAAGTAATACCCTTAGCCATTTATTAAACAATTCAACCAAGAGACCTCAAAGTGTGATTGATGATAAGAATAATCAATGCCTTTTCCCTTCCAACATACTTGAGCAGTCATGACAACCTAAAAATATCATTGGTTGCTTTCCCATTAAAACCAACGTTCCCTGTGGGTCTTAATTCTTTATTTTCACTCATTTGGTGCTTTCCAAGTCATCTTTTCTTTAAAGTGCCCTTCCTCCAAACTTTAAAAAGTACTTCCTTGACAAAATTTCTATTCATTATAAAACATTTCAATATTTTAAGCTTAAATTTTGCTTTTGCTGAAAGCCTACCATTTGGCGTGTTAAGTATGAAATATAGTGCAGACTTTTATCTTGGTTTTAAGTGGGGCTCAATAAAAAACACCAGCCACTTTTGTAATAATGGCATCACAGTGTCATCATGTATGCAAGCAATAAAACTCTTTAGGGTATGGTTTTATACTGAAAATTTAATATGAAGGCCCCTTCCCACAAGAATATAGATAATTATTAACTTTCTAGATGTGATACGGTAATTCGAATTGCAGAGTATAAGGAAGGGAAATGGGAAGGGGCATCATTCCTTGGATTTTAAATAACTATCAAGAACATTTTTACTTTAACAAAGAAAATGGATAGAAAAAGCACATTTTGTTTTCCCTGAAGTTTAATTTGACATCAGGTTTGTGTACTTATCTTCACTAGGTGACTTAACTTACCCCAATTTTTTTAAAAATTATTAAACTTTTTACAGAAACTAACCTTTTAAATGTACCCTTTCCCCATATATATATACGCACACGTTTGGATTTTTTTTTTTTAAGAACACTTGTTCTAGTTATAAATATATAAAGAAAACGATAAAGTTTGTGGTACTGCAGGGTTGTTAAAGATTCTTTGATGCCTTCTAAAAACTTTTGTCAAAAATACTTTTGAGTTCACAATTCTGTTTTACTTTTCCTTGTCCTTACTTTTTGGAAACAGGGTGGTTGCTTTTATTTGTTTTCTGGTTATATTCAAAGCCTTAAGTTCTTAATCTGAGCATATTGTCTGTGATAAATTTCTGATGATCTTTCTGGACTAGATACAACCTGAGTAGCAAGCACCAACCGGAGCAAGTAAACTTCTAGGGAACAAGCGTCTTGGGTTTTATAGGTATCTTTGCTATAATGCAGAATAGATTAATGAAGATTTCCTATATCATATGATATTTGTGTTAGTGGGTCTAAGATTAAGCACATGATATTTATAAGCTAAAATTAACTCAAAAGTCAAGAATGTCTTAATGTTTTCATTCTTAAATTTTGTATTCTCCAAGAATGTATTAGTATATGAACTGTGGCCAACCAGTTCCTATTCTTCAGACTGTATTGACATCTGTAGTGGATCATGTTGCTTCTTCATTCTTACCAATTTTATTAGAATCAAACTTCTTGTTATTTGCATACTATTATCTACTATAGATTCTCAGCTTTAGAAAATGACTATGATACATAAAGACCACTAGGTCAACTTAAAAAACCCTTTCTGTGAATTTATACATGTATGTATATATGTAAAAACACTGTTGATTTGCAATTCTGTCTTTCCATAGAAATGAACTTTTTCTATCGAAATTGTTTAACTTAAATATTTTAACATAAATTATTTACATGGATCTTTATGTATAATTCATCCTTATATATACCCCTTAATCACGTAGTCATGAGAAGATAACTTTGCTTTCTTTACAGAAAGGGCAGAGAGGAATAAGATAAGAAACTGAAACAAGCAAGAATGAAGAGAGATGTGGGGGAGAGACTGCTGGTCTCCAGACCACAGCAATGTGTTTTAAGATAAGATGAAATATTTTAACTGCAGAAGGGATATAAAATCTATGTAATTACATGCTGATGGGATCCATTGCACCCAGGTTTTTGACCTTGGCCTGTAAATGCTAGACTATGATATCTTGTTATTCTTTTTCTCCTTTGGGCTTTTAAAAAATAATTTCATTCTCAGATCATTTTCTGTACTGTTTACTGAGGCAAAAAAAAAAAAAATCTGAAGTCAATCATGGTCTTCTACTTTCTGGACTGAGCATTTGGCAGAATGCAGTATCTTTTCCTGTATTTTGACATGAAATAGCACATGGCTTCTACAAGATAGTTTTAACTTGTTGGGGTCACCGGGAGTTATATGATGGTCAACCCCTTTTCCCAAAATTCATTGTGGTAGTTTTAGTGGAAAACGTAAATCAAGAAATCTCATATCATACTTTAATAAATAAATACCAAATACATAGTGACATATAGGTTTGGGAAGAAACTAGTCTGTGGGGACCATTATAAGAGAATCACATTATATATTACACAGTATATGGATATTGGAATGTATCACTTGTGGGGGGTTCTCTTCATTAGCAAAACAGTCATGTCTGTCTGTATATAAGACTTTTTTTTTTTTAACCAAACTAGCATTTCATTTTGTGAGTGACAATTGACATTTTAAAATAAGCATAGGCCGGGCATAGTGGCTCATGCCTGTAATCCCAGCCCTTGGGAGGCCGAGGTGGGCAGATCACTTCAGGTCAGGAGTTTGAGACCAGCCTGGCCAACATGGTGAAACCCTGTCTCTACTAAATAAAAATAAAACAAAATAAGTGTATCTGGGCCAGGCACGGTAGCCCATGCCTGTAATCCCAGCACTTTGGGAGGCCGAGGAGTTCGAGACCAGCCTGGCCAACATGGCAAAACCCTGTCTCTACAAAAATTAGCCAGGTGTGGTGGCACATGCCTGTAATCCCAGCTACTCGGGAGGTTGAGGCAGGAGAATTGCTTGAACCCGGGAGACAGAGGTTGCAGTGAGCCGAGATTGCACCACTGCACTCCGGCCTGGGTGACAGAGCAAGACTTCGACTCAAAAAATAAAATAAGCGTATCTGGATTTTTCTTTTGAATTCTTGACTGATAAGTTTGAGAATGTATGTTTTTGGAATTTTACAGTTGACTCAAGTGTGAAAGTATACACAAGTAATTTTTCTTTTCTAGCTATGTGAATGTAAAATACTTGCAGATAATGTATATATTGTGTAATATATGTATATTTGGTCATAAAAGCAGATAATTGGAAACATTGTAAAATTAAGCACTTTAATTCCTATTAAATATTAAACATTTGTATCTTGTAAATAAACACATCCTTAAATTAATTCCAAAGCTTTACATGTTATTTCAGCTCATGTTCAGTTCACAGTGATTTCAGTTCTGCTCAGGAAAGTTACTCCAGTAAGGTACTGATACTCCTACCTCCAACCTACCCTCTGCCAAAAAAAAAAAAAAAAAAGTGTAAGTCTTTCAAGAATAAAGCTTATGACAGACTCAAGGTTCTCCAAGTATAGAAACAGTGGCTTCTCTTTGTTATAACTCCAAGTCTAGATCTCCAACAACCGACAAAACAGTGCTGCTCCATACCCAAGGAAACGATTGTTTTGCTCCATAGTTTGTGGTGTTTGCCTACATTCTAGAGGCTTATCCAGTCGGCCCACAGTGTCTATGGGAGACTGGTTCCAGGACCACTCACAGGTACCCAAATCTGCTCATACTCAAGTCCCTGAGCTCTCTGGAACCCACAGATACTGAGTCAAACCTCCGTATTGGTGGGTTTTGCATCCTGATGGAATACCGTGTTTTCATCCACATTTGGTTGTAAATGTGGAATCCATCAATGCAGAGGGCTATTTATTGAAAAAAAGTCCACATATAAGGACCTGTGCTTCAATCCTGTGTTGTTCAAGGGTCAACTGTATAGTGAAATAAGCACGAAAAGAGAACTCAAAAGAACTGTTGAGGCCGGGTATGGTGGCTCACACCTGTAATCCCAGCACTTTAGGAGGCCGAGGCAGGCAGATCATGAGGTCAGGAGATTGAGACCATCCTGGCTAACACAGTGAAACCCTGTCCCTACTAAAAATACAAAAAATTAGCCGGGTGTGGTAGCGGGTGCCTGTAGTCCGAGCTACCCGAGTGGCTGAGACAGGAGAATGGCGTGAACCCGGGAGGCGGAGGTTGCAGTGAACTGAGATGGCGCCACTGCACTCCAGCCTGGGTGACAGAGTGAGATTCTGTCTCAAAAAAAAAAAAAAAGTCTTAGTCCTTGTCTTACTGGTCATATGACCTTAGACAATTTACCTGAATCCCAATAATGAATTCCTGTGGTCACTACAAGAAACATCGCACTCGGTGACTATGAAACGCTATACAAATAATATGTCATGGAACACTTCGGAGTTTCATACAGCTACTCAATTGGCTTTAGCCTTTTTAAAGCCCTGAAAAGGAATCCTCATGACTTCCACTGTGATTTCATAACTAAAACATTTCCAGAGATAACCCTTCGCAGAAGCCTATTAGCTTTTTTAGGACACGAAGAACTAATCAACAATTTTAAAATTGATGCTTTAAAGCAATTGGCATCAGCTGAAGGATTCTGTAAAATAAACATTGCCCTTGGCTCACAAAGGGACCCAAATGTGATTTGGGTCCACATTACATCAGAGTGGCATAATTCAAGGCTTCTCAAACTCTAATGTACACATGAATCACCTGGGGATCTTGTTAAACTGCAGACTGACATAGTGGCCTGCGATGCAGTTCTAACAAGCTCCCGAGGGGTGCTGCTGCTCCTCAAACCATCACTGGAGTACCAAGCTTATAGTGGGAAGGACTTAGTGTCCGAGACCATTGACTAGAAATCCCTGGCTCTACCACTTATGTTTGAGCCTTGAAGACTTGTGAGACTTACATGAGACAATCATATATTGTCTGGCCCATATGAGATATTCAGTTCATAATTGTTAATAGAGATCATTTTTGTTAATTCAAAAATTTGCAGCCCTGACTGCACATGTGAATCACCTGCAGAGTAGTTAGAGCCATTCCCTGGTCCCCATCCCCATCCCCCTCAAAAATTCTATTTATTTGTCTGCATTGGCCTCCGAGTAATAGTCGGTTCAAAAATTCCCCAGGTGATTCTGATGGAAAGCTTCATTTCAGAAGCACTGGTAGAATGTTTATTCAGTGCTTAGTTCTGTGCTAAGTACTGTATTTACATTATCACATAAAAGCCTCACAATAACATTCTAAGATTCAGATAAGAAAACAGATTTGGCCAGGCGTGGTGGCTCATGCCTGTAATCCCAGCACTTTGGGAGTCGGAGGTAGGTGGATCACTTGAGGTCAGGAGTTCAAAAACAGCCCGACCAACATGGTGAAACCCTGTCTCTACTAAAAATACAAAATTAGCTGGGCATGGTTGCGCACGCCTGTAATCCCAACTATTTGGGAGGCTGAGGCAGGAGAATTGTTTGAACCCGGGAGGTGGAGGTTGCAGTGAGCTGAGATAGTGCCATCGCACTCCAGCCTGGGCAACAAGGGTGAAACTCTGTCCCTACCTCCCCCTCTCCAAAAAAAAGAAAGAAAACAGATTTTAAAAAGCTAATAATTTGTCCCTCAGCTCTTGATGTCCTCTCTTCTACCCTTACCCATTTTAAATCCGATGTTCAGTCACTGATCACTCCCTCACATTCACTCACTTCCTTCGCCACGTCTAGCTTTGTCTCGCTTGGCAAAACCAAATCCCCAGTTTACTCAGTTCTGTTTTCATACTTGTACCCATGTGGCTGAACAAAGCAGATTGGTTTCACCTAAAATTTATTACTAGGTCATCACTACTTCCTCCTGAGACCTCCACTGTATCCCCAATCCTCCATCCCAATAGATGACCTTCCTTCCCACTTTAGTAAAATACAAGCAATCAGCAGGGGACAGCCTCCCACAACCATATCTAAGCCACCTATTACCTCTTGAGACCATATACTCTCTCTCCCTGCCTATCCATGTCCTGTCCTAATTGGGTCCCTCACCTGTGCACAGTATCCAATTTCCCATTCGCCTGCCATTCTCCCTTTCTCATGTAATGTCAGATTTCTTCTTGAATCTTATTAGCGAAAACCTGCTATAATTCTTCCCAACGTAAGCCTCTTCACTCCACTTTTCCTCCCATTAGCAGCAACACTCCTTGAAAGAGTTTTCTATACTTACTGTCTCCAATTCCTCTCTTCCCGTTCTTTACTGAACGGATTCCAGTCAGCATTTTGCACCCACCATTTCACTGAAACTGCTCTTATATCAAGGTTACCAATAACTTGTATGCTGCTAAATTCAATAGTCAAGTTCTCAGTCCTCATCTTAGTAGCATTTGACATACTTGGTCATGCTCTCCTTAATTCACTTTCTTCCCTTGGCTTGTAGAACCCCAAACCCTTGGATTTTTTTTCTATTTATGTATTTACTTTAGGGATGGGGAGGTCTCTCCATGCAGACCAGACTGGTCTTGAACTCCTGGACTCAAGCGATCCTCCCATCTCAGCCTCCCAAAGTGCTGGGATTACAGGTGTGAGCCATAGCGCCCAGCCCCAAACCCCTGATGTTCTTCTCTTGAACCCTTTCTTGGTCTTCTTTGCTGTTTTTCACACCTTTCAGGGGTGTCTCAGGCCTAAGTATGTTGTGACTTATCTCCTTTATCTGCACTCATTCCACTAGTATTCACACATACTTTCATACTTTCATGCTGTCAACTCCGAACTTTATTTTATTTATTTTTTGAGACGGAGTCTCGCTCTGTCGTCAGGGTGGAGTACAGTAGTGTGATCTTGGCTCACTGCAACCTCTGTCTCCCAGGTTCAAGCGATTCTCCTGACTCAGCCTCCTGAGTAGCTAGGACCACAGGCACATGCCACCAAGCCCAGCTAATTTTGGTATTTTTAGTAGAAACGGGGTTTCACCATGTTGGCCAGAATGGTCTCGATCTCTTGACCTCGTGATCCACCTGCCTCGGCCTCCTAAAGTGCTGGGATTACAGGTGTGAGCCACCGCTCCTGGCCCCAATTTTATTTTTACTTATTTATTTTTGAGACAGAGCCTTGCTTTGTCGCTGAGGCTAGAATCAGTGGCATGATCACAGCTCACTGCAACCTCTGCTTCCCAGGCTCAAGCAATCCTCCCCGACTCCAGCCTGAGTGACAGAGCAAGACCCTGTGTCAAAAAGAAAAGAAAAAAAAAAAGGAAAAAGAGAAAAAACAGGACTTCAAAATATAATGGTGAAAATCTTAGTCAACCTTGGCACAGTGGATTCTTGTTTTTAAAAAATCAGTCTCAGAGCTAGGCATCATGCCTGTAATTCACCTGGGAGGCTGAGACAGGAAGATCACTTGAACCCAGAGTTCGAGACCAGCTTGGGCAACATAGCAAGACCTGCAGCTTAAAAAAAATAAAATTAGGCTGGGCGTGGTGGCTCACGCCTGTAATCCCAGCACTTTGGGAGGCCGAGGCAGGCGGATCACGAGGTCAGGAGATCAAGACCATCCTGGCTAACACGGTGAAACCCTGTCTCTACTAAAAATACAAAAAAATTAGCTGGGTGTGGTGGCGGGTGCCTGTAGTCCCAGCTACTCAGGAGGCTGAGGCAGGAGAATGGCGTGAACCTGGAAGGTGCAGCTTGCAGTGAGCCGCGATCACGCCACTGCACTCCAGCCTGGGTGACAGAGCGAGACTCCATCTCAATAATAATAATAATAATTTAAAAAATAAAAAATAAAAAAATTTTACAAGAAAAAATATATATATAGAGAGAGAGAGACATACAGTCTCAGCCCACTACCACCACCATTATCACAGCACCTGGACTGTGAGGAGATTAGAGGCAGCTGATGACTGTCCCAGAAGGAGCCGAAAGTGCTGAAGGACAGACATCCTGAGGAAATGGGGCTGGCAGAGTGGACCTGGCAAATGGTTTGGATAATGAGCGCCTAGGCTACCATCACTTTCTTACAGAGGAAGTGATTCATGCACTGTTTTGTCCTGCAGGTAAGTAAAAACAGAAAACCAGTTTGCTTACTCTCTTAGTAAAGGAAATGCTCTGCTTTTATAGAATAAGATTAGGGCCTCATAGCCCACTGTGGCATTTTCACAAAAATTGCTATTTTTAGATGATCACTTAAATATGTCATTATCATACACCAAACAAAAATAATTACGGTGCAAAAAATTAACTTAAAAAATTGTTTCCACATAGAATCATGTTATGTTTAAAAGTGGGAAAAATGTATGTCATCTGAAAGATCATCTTGTGGTTTTTTTTACTATCTGCTGAATTTGTGTGTATGTCTATGTATGTGCTTGAAGACTGGAGAACAGGAAGGCACAGAATGAATACAGGGTAAATGAACCAAAGGATCCAGGCCCACAGTTATAAAAAAAATAGGAGGAAGAACTCTCAATAAAAAAGAATTATTTGCCACTTTGAGAGGACAAGGTGGGAGAATCACTTGAGGCCAGGAGTTAGAGACCAGACTGGGCAAGATAGTGAGGACCCTCCTATCTTTAAAAAAAGTAGTAATAATTAGGTGGGCATGGTGGCATGAGCCTGTAGTCCCAGCTACTGAGAAGGCTGAGGCAGGAGGATCGCTTGAGCCCAGGGGTTTGAGGTCGCAGTGAGCTATGATTGCACCATTGTATTCCAGCCTGGGTGACAGAGTGAAACCCTGTCTCAAAAAAAAAAAAAAGAAAGAAAGAAAGAAAGAAAGAAATGAAAAATTATTTGCTAAAAAAAGTCATGATGCTTTCGTGAGTATACCTTTTTGCAGAGTTTTGACTTTTGAACCATCTCAGTGTTTTATAAACAGACACACACACACACACACACCCCTAATGGTGAACACTCCCCTCCCCCATGGAGTACAAATATAAACAAGTGAACATATCCATATATCAAATGGTACCAAATGAAAAACATAACCACACTGAAGAGAAAAAAGAACTAACTCAAACTTTTGCATACAGTATGTGGACTCAGAGTGCAAACAAATATTGAACTCTAGATCCCTGGCTTGTTTTTCCCAGTGGTAGAGCTTAGTAGTTCTAACATGTGTTTATTTGTTTTGCTGAGTTCTAGAACTCAGTGAATGTGATAGTTCATATTGAGTGTCAACTTGATTGGATTGAAGGATGCAAAGTATTGTTCCTGGGTGTGTCCGTGAGGGTGCTGCGAAAGGAGAGTAACATTTGAGTCGGTGGACTGGGAGAGGCAGACCCACCCTCAATCTGGGTGGGCACTGCCTAATCAGCTGCCAGCGCAGCTAGAATAAACCAGGCAGAAGATGGAAGAGCAGACTTGCTGAGTCTTCTGGCCTTTGTCTTTCTCCCGTGCTAGATGCGTCCTGCCCTTGAACAACAGACTCCAAGTTTTTCAGCTTTTGGACTCTTGGACTACACCATTGGTTTGCCAGGGGTTCTCAGGCCTTTGGCCACAGACTGAAGGCTGCGCTGTCGGCTCCCCTACTTCTGAGGTTTTGGGACTCAGACTGGCTTCCTTACCCCTCAGCTTGCAGACGGCCTATTGTGGGACCTCACCTTGTGATCGTGTGCATCAATACTCCTTAATAAACTCCCCTTCATATATACATCTATCCTATTAGCTCTGTCCCTCTAGAGAACCCTGACTAATCCAGTAAATAAATATGCTGAGGATAATGGGAGCCAAGTTTCCTACTGTCAGAGAAAGCAGATATAGATGTGGAAGGGGGGACATAATAAATCCTATGTTATTGGAATGGAAAATAGGTATTAATGGTTTAGCTAAGTATAAATATAGATATAGTACATATAATACCTATGTGGGGGGTTATATAAATGTACATATACACATATTTTCTAGCTGTCTGCTGTGAGGGTCTAGAAGTAATACCCCAATTTTGTTTTTGTATTTTGTTTTCTAAACACCATTTTCCACTAAAAAGAACCAGCATTCCTTGAAGAAATGGTTGATTCAAGGGCTTGGGCAGGAAAAATTCACAATAAGCCTGGAATATTATATTGTACCAGAAAGTAAGAAAGGGCCCAAAGAATGATGGGGACATGTCAGAAGAACTAGGAGGCAGCTTGAAGGGTCTCCCACTGGCAAAATCTGGGACAGTTAAACATAAAAATTAACAAAAAAAATTTAAAATGATGGCAATGGATTATAAAATCCATTGAATAAAGGAGGAACACAGGAATCCAAACATATGAAAGAATGAATAAATAAATGATAAGAAAAAGTGCTTATAGTAGGATGTCAACAAGTAAGTGTAGAAGAAATGATAAAATGAAAACATTAGCAATTGACAAAACAAAGGAATCATTCAGAATCCTCAGTGGACATTGATGGGTAAAAAATTCTTGACCAGGATAACTACATAATCTCAAAATATGTCTCCATAAAATTGCTTTTTTGTTTTGTTTTGAGATGGAGTCTTGCTCTGTCCCCAGGCTGGAGTGCAGTGGCAGGATCTCAGCTCACTGCCACCTCCACCTCCGGAGTTCAAGCAATTCTTGTGCCTCAGCCTCCCAAGTAGTTGGGACTACAGGCGTGAGCCACCACGTCCAGCTAATTTTTGTGTTTTTAGTAGGGACATGGTTTCACCATCTTGGCCAGATTGTTCTGGAACTCCTGGCCTCAAGTGATCCGCCCACCTCAGCCTCCCAAAGTGCTGGGATTACATGCTGAGCCACCGCGCCTGGCCCATAAAATTCTTATTAATTACAAAAATAAAAATAGTAACTTTGCAGTAGAAAAACTTGGTGGACAGCATCTTAACCAAGTTAACATTACCAGTGAGGACAAACTGGTCTCATGTATCTCTTGATATGAAGCACTGAGAGGACACATCACATCTGTTGTTTTCCTGCTAAAAGTGAAATCTATCTGAGTATTTGGGGTTACATGACAAACTAAATACATTTTTAAAAGTGTAATCTAATCATGAGGAAATAACAGACAAACCCAAACTCAGGAACATTCTATAGAATACCTGGCCTATATTTGGCAGGGCACGGTGGCTTACACCTGTAATCCCAGTACTTCGGAAGGCCGAGGCAGGCGGATCAGGAGGTCAGGAGATCAAGATTATCCTGGCTAACACGGTGAAACCCTGTTTCTACTAAAAATACAAAAAATTAGCCGGGCTTGGTGGCGGGCGCCTGTAGTCCCAGCTACTCGGGAAGCTGAGGCAGAATGACATGAACCTGGGAGGCAGAGCTGGCAATGAGCCAAGATTGCACCACTGCACTCCAGCCTGGGCGACAGAGCGAGACTCTGTCTCAAAAAAAAAAAAAAAAAAAATTACCTGGCCTGTATTCTTCAAAAATGTTAAATTCAGCTGGGCGCAGTGGCTCACGCCTGTAATCCCAGCACTTTGAGAGGCCAAGACGGGTGGATCACAAGGTCAGGAGTTCGAGACCAGCCTGGCCAATATGGTGAAAGCCCATCTCCTCTAAAAATACAAAAATTAGCTGGGCTTGGTGGCGGGCACCTGTAGTCCCAACTACTCGGGAGCTGAGGCATGAAAATCACTTGGGAAGCGGAGGTTGCAGTGAGCCAAGATCATGCCATTGCACTCCAGCCTGGGTGACAGAGTGAGACTCCGTCTCAAAAAAAAAAAAAAAGTTAAGCTCATGAAAGACAAAGACAGACTAAAGAACTGTTCCAGGTTAAAGGATAGAAACACATGATAAGTAAATGCAATGTGCGCTGGACTTAGGCCACAATTTATTCTTTCTTTTTTTTGGCTATAAAGGATATTATTGAGATAACCGTTAAATGAATAACATCTGTAGATTAGATCATCATACTGTAGCTGCTAATTTTTCTGTTTTGACCATTGCACTGTGGTTATGTAAGAAAATATCCATGTCCTTGAAAATATA
This sequence comes from Homo sapiens, assembly GCF_000001405.40. Lineage (NCBI taxonomy): Eukaryota > Metazoa > Chordata > Mammalia > Primates > Hominidae > Homo > Homo sapiens. Next base: position 32,654,644 of record NC_000012.12, read on the forward strand.
CACTGAAGTATTTGAGGAAAAAGACACATCGTGTCTGTAACTTATACTCAAATGGTTCAGAGATGAGAGAGAGGGAGAAAGAATGATAGAGCAGAAGCAATGTGATAAAAATGTTAAAAGAATCTAGGTGAAGGGTAAACTAGAGTTCTTTTAAAATACTTATGACTTTTCTGTAAGTCTGAATATATTTCAAATAAATTGAAGTTTTGGAAGAAATGTAAATTAAAATGAGATATTACTACACACCTGTTAGAATGGTCAACATCGAGACACTGACCACAAATGCTGACAAGGATGTGGAGCAACTGGAACTCTCGCTCATGGTAGGTGGGAAGGCAAAAGGGTACAGCCACTTTATAGTTTGACAGTTTTTCTTGCAAAACTAAACTTATACGAACCAGCAGCACACTCCTTGGTATTTACCTAAATGAGTTGAAAACTTATGTCCACACACAAACCTGCTACAGAGCAGCTTTATTCACAATTGCCAACACTTGGAAACAACCAAGACGTCCTTCAGTAGGTGAACAGATCGACAAATGTGACAATGGAGTATTATGCAGCACTAAAAAGAAATTAGCTATCAGGCTATGAAAAGACATAGAGGGACCTTAAGGGCATTCACCAAATGAAAGAAGTCAACTAAAAAGGCTACATATTGGCTGGGTGCAGTGGCTCTTATGCCTGTAATCCAAGCACTTTCGGAGGCAGAGGCAGGCAGATCACTTGAGGCCAGGAGTTCGAGACCAACCTGGCCAACATGGTGAAACCCCATCTCTACTACAAACACAAAAATTAGCTGGGTGTGGTGACACGTGCCTGTAGTCCCAGCTACTTGGGAGGCTGAGGCATGAGAATCGCCTGAACTCAGGAGGTGGAGGTTGCATTGAGCCAAGATCGTGCCATTGCACTCCAGCCTGGGGACACAGCAAGACTCCATCTCAAAAAGAAAAAAATATATATATATGGAGACATATTTTGAGATTATGTAGATATCCTAGTCAAGAATTTTTTACCCATCAATGTCCATTGATGATTCTGAATGATTCCTTTGTTTTGTCAATTGCTGATGTTTTCATTTCATCATTTCTTCTACACTTATTTGTTGGCATCCTACTATAAGCATTTTTTCTTATCATTTATTTATTTATTCATTCATTCATTCATTCATTCATTCATATGTTTGGATTCCTGTGTTCCTATTTTATTCAATGGATTGTATAATCCGTTGCCATTATTTTAAATTTTATGTTAATTTTTATGTTTAACTGTCCCAGATTTTGCCAGTGGGAGACCCTTCGAGCTGCCTCCTGGTTCTTCTGACATGTCACTTGAGCCTAAGAGTTTGAGACCAGTCTGAGCAACATAGTGATACCCCATCTCTAAAAACAAAAACAAAACTACATATCATATGATTCCAACTATGTATATGACATTCTGAAAAAGGTAAAACTTTGACACATTAAAAAGATCAGTGGTGGCTCACGCTTGTAATTCCAGCACATTGGGAGGCCAAGGTGGGCAGATCACTTGAACCCAGGAGTTTGAGACCAGTCTGGGCAACATAGTGAGATCCTGTCTCTACAAAAGATACAAAATTAGCCAGGCATGGTGGCAGGTAGTCCTAGCTACTCAGGATGCTGAGGTACGGGAATCACTTGAACCCTGGAGGCGGAGGTTTCAGTGAGAGGAGATCACACCACTGCACTCCATCCTGGGTGACAGAATGAGACTCTGTCTCAAAAAAAAGAAAAAAAGAAAAGAAAAAACAAAACAAAACAAAACCCATGTATGAGATTAGAGCCCCAAGTCCAGAGAGGAGCAGTTTCTCAAACTCTTGCTTCAAACAGCCAAAGTAAAGATTAATGTCTATTAAATTAAAAAAAAAAAAAAAAAAAAGCCGGGCATGGTGGCTCATGCCTGTAATCCTAGCACTTTGGGAGGCCGAGGCGGGAGGATCACAAGGTCAGGAGTTCAAGACCAGCCTGGCCAACATGGTGAAACCCATCTCTACTGAAAATACAAAAATTAGCCAGGCATGGTGGCGGGCACCTGTAATCCCAGCTACTCGGGAGGCTGAGGCAGGAGAATCGCTTGAACCCGGGAGGCCAAGGCTTCAGTGAGCTGAGATCACTCCACTGCACTCCAGCCTGGGCAACAGAGCAAGACTCTGTCTCAAAATAAAATAAAATAAAAGCCTAGCTGTTTTTTTTCTTAATTTTTCTTCTCTGTCTTTTCCATTTTTTCCATCTAAAAATTTAAAGTTTAAGAAGAAATACATTGTTATTAAGGAACCACCAATATCCACTTTATCCATCTAACAAAATGATAGCACCAGCCCACTAGTAGCAGTTGGCCACCTAGGATAGTTTGCCAGTAGTGGTAACCAAGGGCCAGGTCCACCCTTCCTCTCAGCTTTGGTGTATTATCTGGCAGTGGAGCTGGGCTCCACACAGAAGAGAGATCCCCAGCTCCCACACTTCGCATTACTATTTGTTACCTGAGCCCCAGTTATACTGTGTGTGTTGCTTAGGTCTTTGGGCTCAACAGATTCCTTGGACAACATAACAACCAAACACAACACATAATTCCTTCAGCTTCTGCCAACAACTCACTGTTTATGGGGCTGTGATGTGGGCCATGGGGCCAGCCTGAGATCAGGAACAGATGGGACATGTAGGCTCCCAGGTAAAGTAATATCTAGGCACCCTTTAAAATCAATATTCTTGAAATAGTTGCTCAACATGAATTTATTTTATTGGGTTTTTTTATTTGTTTTTGAGACAGGGTCTCTGTCACCCAGTGGCACAAACGGCTCACTGCAGCCTCAACCTTCTGGGCTCAAGTGATCCTCCTACCTTGGCCTCCCAAAGTGCTGGGATTACAGGCATGAGCCACTGCACCTGGCCTCAACATGTATTTAGAGCACGGAGGGATGAACAAAATAGTCAGACTTCTGGGGGAGAGCTGGCAATCTTTCCATTGTATCTGCGCTCTTCAGTTTTGGGGAGAGAGTTGTGTATATTTACTACTCATCAAGTAAAAGGACGTGGAATCAGCTGGAACAGGTTTCACTGGAAAGCTGTTTAGGGATCATTTATTGTTGCTCAAGAGTGCCCTCTAAGGGTTTCAAACTATGATAAGTGACTAACCACATTCTGTGCTCTGCAGGAGTTCCGGCAAACACAACTTTCTCCATATCACTATGGTTTCAGAGATGCCTAAGTGCTCATTGATACTTTAGCATCCCTTACAGGATGGCAACACCGGCAGCTCCCCGGCCAGCCCCCCTTATCCTGCTCTGCTGGGAAGAACAGTCTACAATGCGGCCGCCCCATGGTCAAGTTGCCCTTGCTCCTTGATTCTGTTATTCTCCTTTTCTTAAAAAAAAAAAAAAAAAAAAAAAAAAATCAAAGCAAATTTCTCCAACCTTATCCACAATAGAACTCACGACCGAATCCAAGGGATAGACTACTGTCACAGCTCAATCTTGACCTGGGATCCCCCATATATAGGTGTTATATAGGTGTCTCTCTCTCTCTCTTTTTTTTTTTTTTTTTTTTTTTTGAGACAGAGTCTCGCTCTGTAGCCCAGGCTGGAGTGCAGTGGCGCGATCTCGGCCCACTGTAAGCTCCGCCTCCCGGGTTCAAGCGATTCTCCTGCCTCAGCCTCCCTAGTAGCTGGGACTACAGGCGCCCTCCACCACGCCTCGCTAATTTTTGTATTTTTAGTAGAGACGGGGTTTCACCGTTTTAGCCAGGACGGTCTCGATCTGATCTCGTGATCTGCCCGCCTCGGCCTCCCAAAGTGCTGGGATTACAGGCGTGAGCCACCGCGCCCGGCTAGGTGTCTCTTTATAAAATAGAGATCTGGCCGGGCGCGGTGGCTCACGCCTGTAATCTCAGCACTTTGGGAGGCCTAAGGCAGGTCAGGAGGTCAGGAGTTCAAGACCAGCCTGGCCAAGATGGTGAAACCCCGTCTCTACTAAAAATACAAAAAATTAGCCGGGCATGGTGGCGGGCGCCTGTAATCCCAGCTACTCGGGAGGCTGAGGCAGAGAACTGCTTAAACCTGAAGGGGCGGAGGTGGCAGTGAGCCGAGATCGCGCCATTGTACTCCCGACTGGACGACAAAGCAAGACTCCGTCTCAAAAAAATAAAATAAAATAGAGATCCGGGCCGGGCGCCATAGCTCACGCCTGTAATCCCAGCAGTTTGGGACGCCAAGGCGGGTGCATCACCTGAGGTCAGGAGTTCAAGACCAGCCTGGCCAACAAGGTGAAACCCTGTCTCTACTAAAAATATAAAAATTAGCCAGGCATGGTGGTGGGCACCTGTAATCCCAGCTACTCCAGAGGCTGAGGCACAAGAATCACTTGAACCCGGGAGGCAGAGGCTGCAGTGAACGGAGATTGTGCCACTGCCCTGCCTGGGCAACAAAGAGAGACTCCGTCTCAAAAAATAATAATAATAAAATAAAATAGAGATCCACTGTTTGTAGTCTGAGGTCCTATTAGTTTTATTTAAATTGTACCCTAAGCACTTCCCCTCCTTCCAAAACAGTTTTCACAGTAACAGCCAAAACCTGAGGGTTTAGTATCTGCTAGCCACTATTCTAGGAACTTTATAGAAATAATTTCATTCATATTCCATCACAGTTTTTCAGTGTAAGCATTGTAAATAATGCATCAAGAAACATCTTTGACTTGTTACTGAGAGTTCCATCTGTGATAAAGGGCAGATGTCATAGAAAACCCCTTTGGCAGGTGATTCAACTCGAAGGAGAGGGTGGGAGGAAGCAACATCTGAGAATCATGTGAGCTGTGTTTCGGAAATACACACATCTGTCCCACATCCTGCTGCCCTGTGGATTTGATATGCCTGAGGCTGCATGCTGGCAGGTGGGCTTGGGTGTATAATTTTCTCCCAAGTGATTCTCACTCATTCCATTTTTTTGCCTGTCCCTCATCCCCATTTTTAAAAATTATTTATTTATTTATTTATTTATTTATTTATTTATTTATTATTGAGATGAGTCTTGCTGTGTCACCAAGGCTGAGTGGCATGATCTCGGCTCACTGCAACCTCTGCCTCCCGGATTCAAGCAATTCTCCTGCCTCAGCCTCCCGAGTAGCTGCAACTACAGGGCTGTGCCACCATGCCCTGCTAATTTTTGTATTTTTAGTAGAGACAGGGTTTCGCCATGTTAGCTGGGCTGGTCTCGAACTACTGACCTCAGGTGATCCACCCACCTTGGCCTCCCAAAGTGCTGGGATTACAGGTGTGAGCCACCACACCCGGCCCCTGGTCCCCATTTTTATGAACCATTGTGATAAAGTTGAGGAAAGGCCATTAGTCTTAAGGGTTGCACTCAGGCGCAGTACCACAGCCCTGTGCAGCCAAGACTTCAGTGCTCTGCCTGCTCCCTGTGACAGCACACCCTCCTGCTGTCCACCCAGCTCCACAGGCTTCACTGAGAGGCTCTCAGGTAAGCCTCAGCCTGTTGTGGGCTGTCTAGACTGAAAGCAAAGATAGCTATCTGGCTGGAAAAGAGAAAGGAATTAAGAGATCCATAAAAAGGCTTTCTAAAACAGCCAAATGTTTATAAAGGAGAAAGGAAATTGGGAGCTGGCCAGGTCGTATTCCCGTTCTTTGCCTTCTCACACGACAGAGCAGTGTGGTTCCCAACCTGGTTTCCTACCTCCCCTTTCTTCCCCACCTGGGGACATGTGGCAAAGTCTGGAGACATTTTTGTTTGTCACAAACGGAGTGGTGATGGGGAGGTAGTGTTACTAGCATCTTGTGGGTAGAGGCCAGGGAAGCTGCTAAACATCCCAGGAGGCACAGTACAGCCCCCCAAACAATGATCTGGCCCAAAATGTCAATGGTGCCGAGGTTGGGAAGCCCCGCTCCAGAGCCTCCACTTCTCTGGCTACCCATTCCCCCACTCCCGCCACTCCTCAGACAGGGATGGAGGACAGCCAAGATTGTCAGCTGTGACTTTCTCTGCAACCCTGTCTTCTTTTCTCCTGTCCCCCTGTCCAGTGCTCTGCTTCCCTCAGGTCCAAGTGGAACGATGATGGCATCTGACCAGAAAGTTTCCTGGGCCCTGAGTAACTGCCTTAGATTCTTAGTATGTAGTGGGTGAATCTTTAGTAATAAGGTCCCTGGAGCAAAGTGATGCCTTATCTCTAGTATGAAATCTGGGAACTCACGGAGAGATAAAAATAGCCTCAATACCAGTGGACTGGGAACATGGTGCGTGATCTGCTGTTTGAAAATCCCTGTCCTTAAGTGGCCTTGCACCATGATTGCTAAACTTTTCCAGAGCCATCTCTATTTCTCTAGTGTAATTTAACATCTTTTTTGGCGGGGGCGGGGGTGAGTCAAGTTCATTCTTTTTTTTTTTTTTGAGACGGAGTCTCACTCTGTCACCCAGGCTGGAGTGCAGTGGCGCGATCTCGGCTCACTGCAACATCCGTCTCCCAGGTTCAAGCAATTCTCCAGCCTCAGCCTCCTGAGTAGCTGGGAATATAGGCACCCGCCACCGTGCCCGGCTAATTTTTGTATTTTTAGTAGAGACCGGGTTTTGCCACGCTGGCCAGGCTGGTCTCAAACTCCTGACCTCAGGTGATCCGCCCGCCTCGGCCTCCCAAAGTGCTGGGATTACAGGCATGAGCCACCGCGCCCAGTCAAGTTTATTATTCTTAACTTGACCCTATCTTTCCCACTTTTGACTCCAACACTGCTCAGAGCTGCCACACCTACCCCCATAACAGTTGTGCCACTGGGAAGTGAAGAGGGTGTATCACAAAGTCAGAAACTTTGGGAAAAACTAAGATTAGGTTGTACATCCTTCAAACAAGAAGACAAACTACAAGAAGGGCTCAATCACTGCACGCAGTGAGTGTGAGGAGGGCAATGTTCCCTTGATAGTGGCCAAATGTGTGAGTTCCTGGCTTCCTGGGCTCTGTCATGGCTCAAGGTTGGTAAGAAGGCCAGTGATGTTATGAGCAGGCTTCAATTTCTACAGGGTTGTGGGGCGTCATCCACCATATGAAGGGGCTGCAGCAGGTCAGAGATGTGCAATGCCCATCCAGATTGAGGTGCTGACGCCCTTGCCAGAGCTTGGGTTCAGACAGCTTTGGCCTCATCTTCCAGCTCATCTAGGAAATGCTCCTGGGACACCACGTAGAAGGTGTAACTATAAATAGCTAACACCAGGGCCTGATGCCTGGGCCGCTGTAGGAGTGACCTCGGCCACTGGGCAAGCTGCACCTGCCACATGAATTGCAATTGTGCAGAGTCAGTTTGCCCTGAGTCAGGTCAACGCACTGAGCAAATGGAGCCTTTCCTCTGTTAGCATCAGGAGGGACCAGCTCCTGATGCCATCGTCCTGCTCCTCCTCCCTTCGCTGTCTAACAACTCCTTAAGGTATTTCCTCAGCTTTGCCATTCCCTTGGGCCATGATTAAGAGCCTCCAGGCCAGGCGCGGTGGCTCACGCCTGTAATCCCAGCACTTTGGGAGGCTGAGGCAGGCGGATCATGAAGTCAGGAGTTTGAGACCAGCCTGACCAACATGGTGAAACCCCGTCTCTACTAAAAATACAAAACTTAGCCGGGCGTGGTGGCACATGCCTGTAATCCCAGGTACTCAGGAGGCTGAGGCAGGAGAATCACTTGAACCTGGGAGGCGGAGGTTGCAGTGAGCCAAGATGGCACCATGCACTCTAGCCTGGGTGACAGAGCGAGATTCCGTCTCAAGAAAAAAAAAAAAAAAAAAAAAAGAGCCTCCAGTAACCACTCCCCATCCCCACAACATGTTATTATGATTAGTGTTCTTATTGAACTTGTAAATACAACAGGGAAATATAACTGATGTTAGTTACTATTTGATAACTAAAGAAACTAAGAAAATGTGTGCCTTAAAGAAAGTAGTCCCCTGTGGGGTGTTTTGGTTTTGTTTTGTGTAAATGATTGAGTGATTAACATTCAAATCTGAATATATTTTATCACTATTTCATTACATCTCATATTCCTTGTGAGCTGTTGGGTAAGGCTGACCCTGTAGAAGGGACTTTAAAAGATTTAACAGTGAAAAAAGGACACAAGTGTTCTGACTTCAAAACCTCTCTTCAATACTCCTATACTGGAGTTTAAACACACCTCATCTGTGCAGTGGCGAGCTGGGAAGGAAAGAGGGAAGTAGCTGATGCATGCTCCATTCAAAGACCCAAACAAGGTGCTAAGTGCTTCTATCTACCATGTTTTGGGAACTATGCTAAGCATCTGTTTACTCCTTGCAATCCAGTAAGGTAGGATGAGGAAATTTAGGCTCAGAAACTTAGAATTCCTCAGGGACATATTAAGTAAGGGGTGGCAGAGGCAGATTTTAAGCCCAGACGTACCTTAGCTTCAAGGCCCACACTGGATAGTAACAGCTACTATTATTGGGCACATTTCATTATGTTGGCACTCTGTCAAGCCTTTTATTTATTTATTTGTATTTTATTTTATTTTTTTTTGAGATGGAGTCCCGCTCTGTCACCAGGCTGGAGTGCAGTGGTGCTATCTCAGCTCACTGCAACCTCCACCTCCTGGGTTCGAGTGATTCTCTTGCCTCGGCCTCCCAAGTAGCTGGAACTACAGGCATGCATCACCACGCCCAGCTAATTTTTGTGTTTTTGGTAGAGATGGGGTTTCACCATGTTGGCCAGGATGGTCTCGATCTCTTGACCTCGTGATCTGCCCACCTCGGCCTGGGATTACAGGCGTGAGTCACCGCGCCTGGCCATACCTAAGTTAATGGTAGTTACCTCTAGGGAAAAGGGTTTGATGAGGTGTCAGAAGAGTTTAGGTGACTTTTATAGTATATATATATATATATATATATATATATATATATATATATATTTTTTTTTTTTAAACAGGATTTCGCTCTGTTGCCCAAGCTCGAGTGCAGTGGCGTAATCACAGCTCTCTGCAGCCTCAACCTCCTGGGCTCAGGTGATTCTCCCACCTCAGCCTCTTGAGTAGCTGGGATTATAGGCATGTACCACCATGCCCAGTTAATTTTTAAATTATTTATAGAGATGGGGTACCATTATGTTTCCCAGACTGGTCTTTAACTCCTGGGCTCAAGCAATCCTCCCACGTCCACCTCCCAAAGTGCTGAGATTACAGGTTGTAAACCACTGTGCCCAGCCAGATGACTTTTATCTCCCCTTCATTTTATAATTTACCTTTATACGATTCATTTTGTTTGCTTGTTTGTTTTTGAGGCAGAGTCTCTGTCGCCCAGGCTGGAGTGCAGTGGCGTGATCTCGACTCACTGCAACCTCTGCCTCCCTGGTTCAAGCGATTCTCCTGCCTCAGCCTCCCGAGTAGCTGGGATTACAGGTGTGCACCACCACACCTGGCTAATTTTGTATTTTTAGTAGAGACCAGGTTTCGCCATGTTGGTCAAGCTGGTCTCGAGCTCCTGACCTCAGGTGATCTGCCCGCCTTGGCCTCCCAAAGTGCTGGGATTACAGGCGTGAGCCACTGCACCCGGCCCTATACGATACATTTTAATTTTTAAATTCATTTCCACTGTTTCTTTGAAGTGAAAAAAGTCTACAAACAGGCTGCAGAGAAGCTTCCAGCTTGACGACACATTCTCGTTTGGGTGTGTTCTAAAGGTCATCTAAAGGTAACTGCTTGTCAACATGCTAATGTTTTATAATAAGACTTGGAAAGTGAGATGTGAAATCTACAACACACAGTTGGCAAGGTGGGTGGGAGGGAGGGCAGGAAAGTGGCTTTTGGAGAACCTGAATAGTTTAGCAGGCCAGAGGTGTATGCCTCAGGCAGCTCTGAATTGCTAATCCTGGGAGCTGATAATCTCAGTAAGGGGAGGCCTGGGGAAGTCGGAATCTGTGGGTGAAACTCAAAGATGCTTCTAGGGTCTTTGGGTCGATGTCAGAGCTTGGGATGACCTACCAAAGAGTGCAGCTGGGTTTCAGACATGACAGAAAATAATTTTGAAAGCCTAATTAGTAACTTACCAAATTTAAACAAATTCTGCTCAAAGTCACATTTTAAAATGTATGAGTTGGTTTTGTTTTTTGTTTTGTTTTTTTTTTTTTTGTTTTTTTTTTTGTTTTTGAGACGGAGTCTTGCTGTCGCCCACGCTGGAGTGCAGTGGCGCGATCTCTGCTCACTGCAACCTCCGCCTCCTGGGTTCAAGTGATTCTCATGCCTCAGCCTCCCGCATAGCTGGGACTACAGGTGTGCGCCATTGCACCCGGCTAATTTTTGGATTTTTGGGAGAGATGGGGTTTTGCCATGTTGGCTAGGCTGGTCTCGAATTCCTGGCCTCAAGTCATCCGCCCATAAGTGCTGAGATTACAGGTGTGAGCCACTGAGCCCAGTGGTTTTTTGTTGTTGTTGTTTTGTTGTTGTTGTTGTTTTGAGACGGAGTTTCACTCTTGTTGCCTAGGCTGGAGTACAATGGCACGATCTCTGTTCACTGCAACCTCCATCTCCTGGGTTCAAGCAATTCCCCTGCCTCAGACTCCCAAGTAGCTGGGATTACAGGCGCCCACCACTACACCCAGCTAATTTTTGTATTTTTTTTTAGTAGAGATGGGGTTTCACCATTTTGGCCAGGCTGGTCTTGAAGTCCTGAACTCAGGTAATCCACCTGTCTTGGCCTCCCAAAGTGCTGGGATTATAGGTGTGAGCCACTGTGCCCGGCCTGAGTTTTTTTTGTTTTTTTTTTCATCCAGAGATGCAAGGAACTCCTAAATCAGGGAGGTTTTGTCAAATTGAGCATGAATAGAACTGAGTTCTGGTTCTCTCTCTGCTGTAACTGGAGCTGAGATGTTGAGCCCAACATTTAACCTCTCTGAGCCCTGGTTTCCTCATTTGTAAAATACTACAGTTGGACTAAAATTTAAGATGATTAAAATTACTAATGTTCCTTTAGGCTCTAATACCATGCAATTCCTAGTGTTCTTATTTTCTTATTCATGGTTCCCCTGACTCTTTTTGCCTTTGGAAAGCCTATATTTGGTATATGTGAGTATGTGTATATATGTGTGTGTGCGTGTGTGTGTGTGTGTATATATATATATATATATATATGTGAGTATAATTGATTGTATGTATAATATACATAGTCACTTAGATTTTTCTAAATTTTTCTATATTTCCTTCAAGTGCTTAAGATTGATGCTGCAGACCAAGTCTTCTCTTAATTCCTGTCCATCAGGAGGTCCTGATGTCTCAACCAAAGCTCCTGGGCATTAGTGGATCCCATGTGCATAAGTAAGGTAGCTAGAGGGTTCAGCACAAGTACTAATGTTACCGATGAAGGGTGTCCAGGTTTTTGGCGTCTTGAACAAAGAATTAGACAAAACACACGAAGGAAAGAATGAAGCAACAAAAGCAGAGATTTATCGAAAATGAAAGTATACTCCACAGAGTGGGAGCCTCCAGAGTATAGGGGCTCAAGAGCACCCTTACAGAATTTTCTGGCTTTTAAATACCTTCTAGAGGTTTCCCATTGGTTACTTTGTATACACCCTATGTAAATGAAGTGGTGGGCTGGGCGCGGTGGCTCACACCTATAATCCTAGCACTTTGGGAGGCTGAGGCAGGCAGGGACCAGCCTGGGAAACACAGTGAAACCCCGTCTCTACTAAAATAAAAAAAAAATTAGCCGGGCGTGGCAGCGTGTGCCTGTGGTCTCAGCTACTCCGCGGCGGGGCGAGGGGGGACCAGGGGGCGTGGGGGCGGGAGGGGGGACCTGAGGCAGAAGAACTGCTTGAACGCGGGAGGCAGAGGTTGCCGTGAGCCAAAATCACGCCACTGCACTCCAGCCTGGGCGACAGAGCGAGACTCCGTCTCCAAAAAATAAAATAAAAATAAAGTAAATGAGGTAGTGGCCTGCAATAAGTCTGATTGGTTGTTTTCCAAAACCAATCAGAGGCTGAAGTGAAGTTACAAAGTTACACTCCTATGCAAACTTCTGATTGGTTGCAGAAAGCAACCAATTTAAAACCATACTTTCAATTTTCCATCTGCCACTCAGAAAAAAGGGGGAGGGCAGTTGTAAAGGGAGAGCAGAAAAAAGGGGGAGAGAAGTTGCAAAGGGAGTAGCCTCTGGTCCTTTTGTTACTTAGGTGTGGAAAGTTGGCGTTTTCCTTTTGATTTAGTTCTAGGAAGTCGGCTTGAATTGGCCTTAGGTCCCCTGCCTCCAGACCCTATTGTCCTGTCTCACTAATAAACATAGTAAAATCTCCTCTTCTAAGATTCAAAGTTTTTATTCAGGCAAATAGTCTGGCTGATTTCAGATAAGGTCTTCTAAGCATTGCGCTTAGGCACTGAGAAGGCATTTGTAGGGTTTGTGTCTGCCCTGGTCCAGTGTTCACTCTTGGAGACTGATTTCTAACCCCCAACGCACATGCCCTGTATTATGTACCAGATTTGGTCCTATAACTTCACTTCCATACAGCTAGGAATAATATTATCAAAATTAAAGGACAAAAGGGATATTGACAGAAAATATTTGCAACATATATAACAAAGCATATTTACCACAATAAATACAAGAAACTCATACAAATGAGTGTTTTGAAATATCATTGTAACGGAAAAAAGTAGGCGAAGAATATAAATAGGCAATTCATAGAAAAATAAATACTGGGCCAGGTGTGGTGGCTAATGCCTATAATCCCAGCACTTTAGGAGGCCAAGGTGGGTGGATCACATGAGGCCAGGAGTTCAAGACCAGCCTGGGCAACATGGTGAAGCCATATCTCTACCAAAAAAAAATTAGCTGAGCGTGGTGGCACACACCTGTAGTCCCAGCTACTCAGTTGGCTGAGGTGGGAGGATCACTTGAGCCCAGGAGGGTGAGGCTGCAGTGAGCACAGTGAGCCGAGATTGTGTCCATGCCCTCCAGCCTGGACACACTAAGACCCTATCAAAAAAAAAAAAAGAAAAATACTAAAAAAATACTAAATATACTAAAGAATTCTCCAATCATGAAATACAAATATACTAAAAAATATACTAAATATACTAAAGAATTCTCCAATCATGAAATACAAATAAGAACAATGATTCCTGTTTTTGGGAAAATAATTGTTTTTCAAAACATTTCTTTTTTTTTTTTTTGAGACAGAGTCTCGCTCTATCGCCCAGGCTGTAGTGCAGTGGCGCGATCTCGGCTCCCTACAAGCTCCACCTCCCGGGTTCACGCCATTCTCCTGCCTGAGCTTCCCGAGTAGCTGGGACTGCAGGCGCCCGCCCCCACGCTTGGCTAATTTTTTTGTATTTTTAGTAGAGACGGGGTTTCACCGTGTTAGCCAGGATGGTCTCGATCTCCTGACCTCGTGATCCGCCTGCCTCAGCCTCCCAAAGTGCTGGGATAACAGGCGTGAGCCACCGCGCCCGGCCTAAAACATTTCTTTAACTTTTTAAGCTGTAAATTAGCAAAACTGAAAATAGTGAAACTACTCTAGGGTGAGTGTGGGGAAACATATACTCCTGTATACTTTTGCTGTAATGTAAACTGGCACAATTTTTTGGAGGGCAAACTGGCAATACCTATTCAGATTTCAAAGATGCATACCTTTTGACTCAGCAATTTTGCTTCTAGGAATCTACCCTACTGAAATACTTACATTAAGTATGAAAATATACATCTACAAGGATATTTTCTGCAACATTTTCCATAATAAAAATTCAAAGCTATCTATAATCTACCAAGAGAAAAACTGTGAAATTATTATAATCCTTACAAGAGAATACTAGGCAGCTCTTGCAAAGAATATTTTGGGATTTTTATGTACTGATATAGAAGCTATCAATAATGTAGTGATAAGTGGCAGGGAAAAAGCTTATGGGAGAAGGAGATTTTTTTCACTAAAAGTTAAATCAAAGAGAACTACATGTGTGTATGCTCTAATTTATATGTTTGTCCAAACCAGTGAATAGTATGAAGAACAGAAAGATGTTTACAGTGGTTCCCATCTGGGGAGCATGATCAGAGGTGAGGAGCTTTTTATAGATTACATTACTCATTTAATGATATTGCTAGGGACTGAGTTGTGTCTTCCCTACCCTACCCCCGCAAAATTCATATGTCGAAGAAGCCCTAACTCCCAAAGTGACTATATTTGGAGACATGGCTTTTATAGACTTAATTAAGGTTAAACGTCATAAGGGTGATCTGATAGAACTGGTGTCCTTATAAGAAGCAGAAGAGGCTGGTCGCGGTGGCTCACGCCTGTAATCCCAGCACTTTGGGAGGCCGAGGCAGGTGGATCACGAGGTCAGGAGATCGAGACCATCCTGGCTAACACGGTGAAACCCCCTCTCTACTAAAAAAATACAAAAAAATTAGCTGGGTGTGGTAGCGGGCGCCTGTAGTCCCAGCTACTTGGGAGGCTGAGGCAGGAGAATGGCATGAACCCGGGAGGTGGAGCTTGCAGTGAGCCGAGATCACGCCACTGCATTCCAGCCTGGGCAACAGAGCGAGACTCCATCTCAAAAAAAAAAAAAAAAAAAGAAGGAAATCTGGATATGGAGATGATGTGAACACACACAGGAAGAAGAGGCTGGGCACGGGGGCTCATGCCTGTAATTCCAGTACTTTGGGAGGCCAAGGCAGGCAGATCACGAGGTCAGGAGTTTGAGACCATCTTGGCCAACATGGTGAAACCCCGTCTCTACTAAAAAAATACAAAAATTAGCTGGATTTGGTGGTGGGTGCCTGTAATTCCAGCTACTCAGGAGGCTGAGGCAGGAGAATTGTTTGAACCTGGGAGGTGGAGGTTGCAGTGAGCCGAGATCACGCCATAGCACTCCAGCCTGGGTGACAAGAGTGAAACCCTGTCTCAAACACACACACACACACACACACATACACACACACACACACACACACACACAAAGAAGATGCCATGTGAAGATAGAAGCAGAGACTGGAGTTATGCTGCTACAAGCCATTAAATGCTTGGAGTCACCAAGTGCTAACTACTAGGAGAGAGGCATGACAGATTCTCCCTTACAGCCCTCAGTAGTGTTGGATGTAAAAATGTTCTAGGAATAAATGCTTGGTGCAGTGAAGTAAAACTAGCACTTAGGCAAAAGTTTAATTATCTCAGCAAGGCAATTTACTTCTGCAGAAGGGTGCTACCTGCATCAATCAAGATCGTAAGGGCACAGAGAACAAAGGAGACCAGGGTTTTTTTCTATCTTTAATGCAATCTTTACTTCTATGTCCCTACCCCATGGGCTGGGGTTGGACTGCACAATCTGAGCTGACTTGATTGGCTACTTGTATATATTTTTTTAAATATAGAAGGGGAGGGGGACATGAGGTACAGAGGTGGAGTGTGTGAGACGTGCAGTTTTGGGGGAACATTAGATGGGTGCAGGTAACCAAGGGAACAGATGTGAGTTATTGATTAGAGCTGATATGAAAGGGGTAGGCTGTTTTACAGTAACTAGGGGCAAGGAAGAACAGGAAAGTTGAGTTTGAGAACAAAAGACAAGGAAGTTAGTAGTCTAAATTTTTGAAGAGAAACTCAGAGAAATTCATTGTGTCTTACAGTAGGAACCAATCCTTGGGAACCTTGGTCTTGGACTTCTAGCTTCCAGAACTGTGAGACAATACATATCTGCTGTTCTAAACCAACCAGTCAGTGGTACTTTGTTACAGCAGCCCCAGGAAACAAATATATTCCACCACCAAGTTTATGCAGAAAGAGATTCATTCATTCATTTGACAGTCTTGCTCGGTTGCCCAGGCTGCAGTGCAGTGGTGCAATCTCGGCTCACTACAACCTCTGCCTCCTGGGTTCAAGCAATTGTCCCACCTCAGCCTCTCGAGTAGCTGGAGCTACAGCCGTGCAGCTCCATGCCCAGCTAATTTTTGTATTTTTAGTAGGGATGGGGTTTTGCCATGTTGCCAGGCTAGTCTCGAACTCCTGGCCTCAGTGATCTGCCTGTTTGGCCTCCCAAAGTGCTGGGATTACAGGCGTGAGCCACCACACCCGGCCCGAAAGATATTTAATATGGGAAATTAGATGCTTATAAATCTGTTAGAGTGCCTGGGAAAAACAGGTGTTAGCTAGACATCCAGGAATTACTTCCCGAACAATGTCACAAAATCAGTACACCAGAAGTTACTGTATATTTATCATAAGCGACAGCTGGCTCTCGGGATCTTTTTATCTCGACTGTTATCTGAGAATCAGGAAAATATCATCAGAACCATTAAGTCCAGAACCACGTCATGCTTCCCATGATCTTGCGTCCCAGAGTAGGTGTCCCTTTTGTTTGTCATAGTGTACTAGGGAGCCTTTAGATCTGCAAAGGTAGCAGCTAACCAAGGGCTAAAAGTGAAATTTCTCTTCACCATCAAATATGAGCAAATTGAGTTTGTGTGAGGGAGACAAAAAACAGAAAAACAGAGAAGGGAGATATGAAAAGCTTCTAAGAATGTCAAACAACATTTGAGAACCTGGAGTAGAGTTGTAAAGAGGCTAATGAGAAGGCTTGAGAAATGGGGCAAGTGAAGTAGTTTAAATGCAGGGATGTCTAACATATAATTTTCAGTTGTCACTGCTGTAATTTAAAATCACTATTGCTGGGCGTGGTGGCTCATGCCTGTAATCCCAGCACTTTCAGAGGCCAAGATGGGCGGATCACCTGAGGTCAGGAGTTTGAGGCCAGCCTGGCCAACATGGCAAAACCCTGTCTCTACTGAAAATACAGCCGGGCGCAGTGGCTCACACCTGTAATCCCAGCACTTTGGATGTCTAGCTAACACCTCAGGGCGGATCATCTGAGGTCAGGAGTTCGAGACCAGCCTGACCAACATGGAGAAACCCCGTTTCTACTAAAAAAATACAAAATTAGCCGGGCGTGGTGGTGCATACCTGTAATCCCAACTACTCGGGAGGCTGAGGCAGGAGAATCACTTGAACCCGGGAGGCAGAGGTTGCGGTGAGCTGAGATCATGCCATTGCACTCCAGCCTGGGCAACAAGAGCGAAACTCTGTCTTTCAAAAAAATAAATAAACAAAATACAAAAATTAGCTGGCGAGTGGCCCACGCCTATTGTAATCCCAGCTACTTGGGAGGCTGAGGTGGGAGAATCCCTTGAACCCAGGAGGCAGAGGTTGCAGTGAGCTGAGATTGTGCCACTGCACTCCAGCCTGGGCTACAGAGCGAGACTTGATCTCAAAAATAAATATATAAATATAAATAAAATAACTCTATTATCTCAAATAGTTTCTAAAATATGCCACAAATTTTGATGGTAGGAGGATAAAAAGAAGGGCTACGTTCTATTGGGGTGTGGGTGTGGAGCAAAGGGAAGAAATCAGGACCATATCTTAACTCCCAAGTTATTTTGTCGTTAACTGCTCTTAATTGTGTTGTCACACTGCCCTCTCATGGTCCCGTCAGTATCTCACCAGATTCAATTTCTGGCTTCTGAACCATCTGGCCAATTCCACCATCTGCAAACAATTTCCTGCACCTGCTAACAAAGTATGTGTTAAGCTTGAGGCCTGGGGAGTAGCAAATTGATTAAAGCTGTTTACTTTATCATCTTTGCAAAACACGGGCAGTTTCCAAAATATGACAAAGAGGCTTCCCCAACAGAGCTGTATATTTTATATTAACATTAGATCCCCACTAACCGCTATGATTTGAAGGTGCAGATACCGGCATCTTGGCTGTGATTGATGATCAAAATGTTGGCATAAAATGATATTGGACACATGCGATAAAAACAGTCTGACCTTTTCCAAGATCGATTAATTTCCAGTTATTAATTTAATCCAAAATAAACTTCCTCTAATTCGGGATTTTAAGTTAGAACAAAGCCAGGCTACTCCCTAGCTAAGTAACTTGGCATCTATTCTAATGAGGAGTCCTATGCCAAGCCAGACTCATATGTGTTGGTGAGATTTGATTGCCAGTCCTGGTTGCAATTATATCAATTCAGAGCTGCTTAAATCCTTGTTATTCCAGATTTTCCAAATAAAAAAGAAAAGAAAACCCCATATCCAGTAGACTAATATTATGTAACACGCTTCATACGAGGTAGTGGGGGAACCCAGCTAAATAAGATAATCACTTCTGCCCTTCGTGAGCTCACTATTGGTGAAGGGGGAGGGCATGTTAGTGCCATATCCACGGTTCCTCCCTACTCTCCAGCAAAATATACTGCCTGGCTAAGATCCGTATGCCTAACAAGTACTTCATCAATATGTGTTGAATTAATGAAGAAAGGAATAAATACACGAGGCAGAATGTGTAGCGGTTGAGAGTTTGCTGCCGGGCATGGTGGCTCACACCTGTAATCCCAGCACTTTGGGAGTCCGAGGCGGGTGGATCACCTGAGGTCAGGAGTTTAAGACCAGCCTGACCAATATGGTGAAACCCAGTCTCTACTAAAAATACAAAAATTAGCCTGGCGAGGCGGTGTGCGCTTGTAGTTCCAGCTACTGGGGAGGCTGAGACAGGAGAATTGCTTGAACCTGGGAGGCAGAGGTTGCAGTGAGTTGAGATCGCACCACTGTGGCGACAGAGTAAGACTGTTTCAAAAAAAAGAAAAAAAAGGGGGTTTGCCAAAAAGCCCCTTTTCATCCCATCTCTGCCACATACTAGCTGTGTAAATTTACCACTTCACTTCAATCCCTGGAGCCTCCGTTTCTACATCTCTAAACCTACTTCACGAGGCTCTGATAAAATGCTTAGTATAGTGCCTCACATACAATAAGCACTTAAATAATAGTTCAATAATATTGTGTGAAAAGGGCAACAAGGAAAAATGGAGAAATTCATATGGTTAACTATGGGGATTAGAATTCTGATGTTATGTGCTGTACAGCACATGTACATTTAAAAATATGGGAAAGTTGGCCAGGCGCAGTGGCTCATGCCTGTAATCCCAGCACTTTGGGAGGCTGAGGCGGGCAGATCACGAGGTCAGGAGATCAAGACCATCCTGGCTAACATGGTGAAACCCCATCGCTACTAAAAATACAAAAAATTAGCCGGGTGTGGCGGTGGGCGCCTGTAGTCCCAGTTATTCGGGAGGCTGAGGTAGGAGAATGGCGTGAACCCAGGAGGCGGAGCTTGCAGTGAGCTGAGATTGCACCACTGCACTCCAGCCTGGGTGATAGAGCAAGACTCTGTCTCAAAAAAAAAAAAAAATATATATATATATGTATATATATGGGTAAGTTACTGAATTTGGGGAAGTTCTTCAAGGTGAATAAAGAAGTTTATTCTTGCAAACCAATTTATTCCATGAGATAGGAAACATGATCTTTGGAGACATTGACTCACATGCTTACAGTTCTATAACCAGAGAGAGAAAATATTTTTGTTCAAATTCAGGTTAGGAAATTCTCAGAGAAGGATTCTAAATGGTCCTGCAGGTCCATCCCTAGACCAATCACCTTAACCAGGTGCAGTAGGCCCCTCCAATAAGTCCATGTCCTAATCCCTGGAGCCTGTGAACTTTATGTCTCAGGAGAGACTCTGTAGATGTGATTAAGGGTACAGGCCTTGAGACAGGGATATTATCCTGGGTTGTCCAGGTTGGCCAATCTAATGATGGGCCCTTAAACACAGAGAAGCTTTTCTGGGGGTCAGAGGCCTGATGACAGCAGAAGAGTTAAAGAGATGCGACATTGCTGGCTTTGAAGAGGTTGGAAGGAGGTAACCAGCAAGGAATGCAGGGGGCCCCTAACAAAGGCAAGGAGGTGAATTCCCTGCTAGAGGCTTTAGGAGGGTTTGCAGCCCTGGTGACACCTTGATTTTAGTCCAGTGAGACCTGTGTGAGACTACTGAACTATAGAACTGTAAAACAATACTTTTTTTTTTTTTTTGACATGGAGTCTCACTGTGTTGCCCAGGCTGGAGTGCAGTGGCGTGATCTTGGCTCACTGCAAGCTCTGCCTCCCAGGTTCACGCCATTCTCCTGCCTCGGCCTCCCGGGTAGCTGGGACTACAGGTACCCGCCACCACGCCCGGTTAATTTTTTGTATTTTTACTAGAGACAGGGCTTCACCATGTTAGCCAGGATGGTCTCAATCTCCTGAACTCGTGATCCGCCCGCCTCGGCCTCCCAAAGTGCTGGGATTACAGAAGTGAGCCATTGCGCCTGGCCACATTTTTGTTGTTTTAAGCCACTAAAATTGTGGTAATTTGTTAAGGCAGCAATAGGGAACTAATATACTAGAGAAGCAAGGCAGAAACCAGGTTCCTAGGTTTCAGTTCCTCCCCAGTTCTCTCTGCCTCATCTGCTGTGAGACAGCTTGCTGAATGAGATCCCCTACACCCTCCCCCACAGCACACTCACCTCATTCCACAGGAGTAAACTGCGTGAGAGAATGAAATAGACGATGTAGTGATAAGATGTAGAGCTCTGATTCTGCCTGAGCTCCTAGTTCCAGTCATTTTTTTTTTTGAGGTGGAGTGTCACTGTGTCACCCAGGCTGGAATGCGGTGACGTGATTTTGGCTCACTGAAACTTCCGCCTCCCGGGTTCAAGCAATTCTCCTGCCTCAGCCTCCCGAGTGGCTGGGATTACAGGCTCTCACCACCACCCCCAGCTAATTTTTGTGTTTTTAGTAGAGACGAGGTTTCACCATGTTGGCCAGGCTGGTCTTGAACTCCTGACCCCAACTGATCCACCCATCTCGGCCTCCCAAAGTGCTTGGATTACAGGCTAGAGCCACTGCGCCCAGACATTCAGTCATTTTTGAGGCAAGTTAGCTCAGAATTAAATTTCTGTCCTTACAATTAGCTATCCTGCCTAAATCATAAAGCTATGGTGAGAGAGGGATGGTTGCAGGAGAAGAGGTGTTTTTTGTTGTTGTTGTTTTTTTTTTTTGAGATAGAGTCTCACTCTGTTGCCCAGGCTGTAGTGCAGTGGCGCGATCTTGGCTTGCTGCAACCTCTGCCTCCCAGGTTCAAACAATTCTCCTGCCTCAGCCTCCCCAGTAGCTAGGACTACAGGCGCGTGCCAGCACGCCTGGCTAATTTTTTGTATTTTTAGTAGAGACGGGGTTTCACCGTGTTAGCCAGGATGGTCTCCATCTCCTGACCTCGTGATCCACCCACTTCGGCCTCCCAAAGTGCTGGGATTACAGGTGTGAGGCACCGCACCTGGCCGAGAAGAGGTTTTTTTAAAGGCCTTTTGATATCCGATAATGGTTTAATGTGATTCCCACAGGAAGCCACTGAAGAACACATTATTCTTAGATGCACAAAGACTCTTTTTTGTGGGAAATCCATTTAGCCACTTATTAGTTAAATTGATTTCCCACAAACAAGAGTGTTCTGAACTTAAAACATGAAAGCCGAAATTGGTTTTTTTTCTTCTTTTTTTTTTTTTTTAGTTGGAGTTTTGCTCTTGCCGCCCAGGCTGGAGTGCAGTGGCGCGATCTCGGCTCACTGCAACCTCTGCCTCCCGGGTTCAAGCGATTCTCCTGCCTCAGCCTCCCGAGTAGCTGGGATTACAGGCACGCGCCACACCAGGCTAATTTTTTTTTTGTATTCTTAGTAGAGATGGGGTTTCACCATGTTTGTCAGGCTGGTCTTGAACTCCTGACCTCAGGTGACCCGCCCACCTCGGCCTTCCAAAGTGCTGGGATTACAGGCGTGAGCCACCGGGCCTGGCTCTTTTTTTTTTTTTTTTTTTTTGAGACGGAGTTTTGCTCCTGTTGCCAAGGCTGGAATGCAATGGTGCAATCTCGGCTCACCGCAACCTCTGCCTCCCGGGTTCAAGCAATTCTCCTGCCTCAGCCTCCCGAGTAGCTGGGATTACAGGCGTGCACCATCACGCCCAGCTAATTTTTGTATTTTTAGTAGAGATGGGGTTTCTCCATGTTGGTCAGGCTGGTCTTGAACTCCCGACATCAGGTGATATGCCCACCTTGGCCTCCTGAAGTACTGGGATTACAGGCATGAGCCACCGTGCCCGGCCTTCTGTTTTCTTTAGAAGAAAACAAAAGCTCCATCAACAGAGGGGTGAGAAGCAAAGTGGGTAATATCTGACTATTATGTAATATTATCTTTGGTAGAAAGTCAAGAGACTTGGAATAAAACTGTTTTTTGGAGTTCTGAAATTTTTGTCTTATTTTATCTCTGAAAAATTTTTTTTTTGAAAATAATCAAAGAGGAGATGTTCACAAAACCTGTCAAGATGCCAAAACACCACTAATGGATCTTTAGGTCTTGGCTTACTTCATCCATTTGTTCACAGATATTTATTAAGCACCTGCCATTTGTCCTGCTGAACAAATCAAGCATGTTCCCCGCAGCCATTGTGTACAGCTAAGCAGGTGAATGGCACCCACTGGAGTTGCGTAGTGCACAACTTCCACTACTGCTGGTGGTTCTTGTCCTCATGGAGATTAAATTTAGTAACTTCTAGGAAGTCTTTCTCGAATCTCTATCCTCTTGCTCAGACTGGAAAAAGTGCTCTTATTATGTTTTCTTTTCTCTTTTCTCTTTTTTTTTTTTTGACACAGGGCCTCACTCTGTCACTTAGGCTGGAGTGCGGTGGCACGATCACAGTTCACTGCAGTCCCCACCTCCCAAGCTTAGGTGATCCTCCTACTGCAGCCTCCCAAGTAGTTGGGGCCACAGGTATGCACCACCACGACAGGCAAGCTAATTTTTTTGTATTTTTTGTAGAGACTGGGTTTTGCCGTGTTGCCCAGGCTGGCCTTGAACTCCTGACCTCAAGTGATCTGCCCGTCTCCTGCCTCAGCCTCCTGAGTAGCTGGGATTACAGGAATGCACCACCACGCCCGGTTAATTTTTGTATTTTTAGTAGAGACGGGGTTTCTCCATGTTGGTCAGGCTGGTCTTGAACTCCTGACCTCAAGTGATCCGCCTGCCTTGGCCTCCCAAAGTGCTGGAATTACAGGCGTGAGCCACGGTGCCTGGCCTCTCCTCACCTGCTTTAATTCTTTACTCAAATGTCACCTTTTTACTTTGAGGTTTACTTTTACCTTTGGAGGTTTGGAGTAGAGGAGGGATACTATCTGTCTAAAAAGAAAAACAACATTTAGAAATATAACAGTATGGGCCGGGCATGGTGGCTCAGGCCTGTAATCCCAGGACTGTGGGAGGCCAAGATGGGCGGATCACTTGAGGTCAGGAGTTCGAGACCAGCCTGGCTAACATGGTGAAACCCCGCCCCCCACCCGTCTCTACTAAAAATACAAAAATTTTCCCAGGGTGGTGGCGGGTGCCTGTAATAACAGCTACTTGGGGGGCTGAGGCAGGAGAATCACTTCAGCCTGGGAGGAGGAGGCTGCAGTGAGCCGAGATTGCGCCACTGCATTCCAGCCTGGGCGACAGAGTCAGACTCTGTCTCAAAAAAAAAAAAGAACGGTATGAGCAAAGAGTGAGTAAGGCAGTTATCAGATGTCTACTTTGCCAGGAATCAGGCTACAGCAAATAAAGGTTTATACATAATATTGATAATAAATGCCCAGCTCTTCCCCTGTAAAACTCCAATACTCTAAGATTTTTTTCATGAACACCGCCCCCCGCTGCTCCGACCCCTGCTTTTTTATTTATTTATTTATTTATTTGGTAGAGATGAGGTCTCACTATGTTGACCAGGCTGGTCTCGAACTCCCAGCTCAAGCGATCCTCCTGCTTCTGCTTCCTAAAGTGCTGGGATTACACCGCGCTCGGTCCTGAACACACATTTTGTTTGTTTGTTTGTTTGTTTACAAAACCCCTGGAGAACCCGCGTATTCTAACCTGGGCTGGTTTTTGTATTTTTGCAAAATAACACCCCACACATTCTCGTATCAGCGTGCAGATTTTTTTGCACCCAGTTTGGTTGTTTGCGGCCATAAGCTTTTCTTTAAGCCTTTCCAACCCGTCCTTCTAGAGAAAGTGTCTTCATAAGGAAGTCACACTGCTCACGCCTGTAATCCCAACACTTTGGGAGGCCGAGGCGGGTGGATCACTAGGTCCGGAGATCGAGACCATCCTGGAAAACACAGTGAAACCCCGTCTCTACTAAAAATACAAAAAATTAGCCGGGCGTAGTGGTGGGTGCCTGTAGTCCCAGCTACTCCGAAGGCTGAGGCAGGAGAATGGCGTGAACCCGGGAGGCGGAATTTGCAGTGGGCCGAGATCGCGCCACTGCACTCCAGCCTGGGCGACAGAGTGAGACTCCGTCTCAAAAAAAAAAAAAAAATAAATAAATAAAAAATAAATAAAAGGAAGTGACACTGGATAATTAAGAGACACACCATTGCGCCTTTAACACATATTCACACCCAGCACTGTCACATCCATCGTGCCTTGAGGACAGGCATAAATTTACGGCCTTCCTCCTGCGCTCCCGGCCTGCTCCTAGCCTTTGACTAGAGCCTGCGCAGCATCCCAGTCCCAGGCTAGGGCCCACCGGTGCCGCGCAGCCTCCTGGAAGCTGTGGGGAGTAGCGTTCCTCCGCTCCAGAACTACAACTCCCAGCAGGCCTTGCTCCTCTCCACCTCCCTCGCAGCGCATGGCCTGCCGGGAGGGGGCAGGTAGCCGGCGGGCCCGGTCCAATGGGTGCCGGCTTCCGAGGAGAGGGCGGAGGAGAGGAGGAAGGAGGCGAACTGTGGGCCCCGGCCCCATTCATTGCCGTGGCCGGCGGGCACTGGGGCCCCGTGTTTTCAGAGTCATGGAGGCGCTAATTCCTGTCATAAACAAGCTCCAGGACGTCTTCAACACGGTGGGCGCCGACATCATCCAGCTGCCTCAAATCGTCGTAGTGGGAACGCAGGTGAGAGCAGCAGGCGGCGTTCGCTCGGGCCAGACCCCGGCCGCAGGCCTGGTCGGTGCTGCGGCAGTGCCCACTCCCGCGCCAGCGCCCACTCCCGCGCCAGCCTTTGGGGCCTGTGGGAGGAGGGCCTTGCTGGGGGCCCCAGGGCTCTCCGGGCTCTGCCGCACCCGCCCTCCCGGGGCAGCGTTGCATCAAGGCGGAGAATCCGGGGCCCGGCCAGGGGCGGAGCCGGCGCGGCGGGCCTGGCTAGCCCGGCGGGTCCCGGGGACAGGAGAGGGAAGGATGGGGCCGGCGGGCGGAACTGGAGTCCGCTGGGACCGGGCGCGGCCTCGTCCGCGTGCCGCTGCCTCCAAGGGCACCTGGGGGACGCGCGGGGCACTCGGGTCTCGCTGGGCTCGGTGGGCTGGCTGTTCCCATCACTGTTGGCTTTCGTGAGACGGGTGTTTTATTTCCCTCCTTGCCTTGCCCAGGGACTGCGGAGTTAGTTTTGGAATCGCTCTGTTGAGGCTGAGAGACGCTACGGTGCGTGAGCGCCAGTGTTTTCCTGCAGTATAATTCCACCAGGTTTCGAGAACGCCGAAGCAGCATTTTAAAAAAAGAAAAACAAAACGTGTATCTAGAGTTCTGCGGGTGTTGGGAAGGAATATCCGATTTTTCTGCGTAGGCTGTGCTTTTTGTCTTCCACAGTTTTGTGATCGTGACCTAAATTGGGCATCAGTTTCTCTGGTCTTCTCATAGCTAACTCATTTTTTTTTGAATGCAGAAATGTTGGCAAAATAACTGTTATTTCTAGAGTGACAGAGGAGAAGTATAATTTTCCTTTTCTCTGCTACTTCGATTAGAGTTCAGAGAAACGGATTTTAGAAATTAGTATATTGATATTAAGTGCTTTCATTTCTTAATAGTATCTTTTCTATTGAGAAGGAGCGGTTTCCCCATCATTTTCCAGGAGGTACATAGTATAGGGTATAAGTGCTATCAGAAGGAACTTACTGTTCAAAGTATTAGTGGCTATCCAAACACTGGAAACTATAGACACCCTGTACTCGTTTGTTTGTTTGTTTGTTTTTTTGGCTTTTAAATAGTTGAAGCAATAGAAATTGTTTTAGAAACACATTTCCTTGGTCTGCGATAGGATTGGGAAAGATTCTGCTCAATCTTGCCTACGTATTCTAGTATTTGTAACAATATTTGTAATGTTTGGAGACTCAGAAGCATCAAACAAATTACGAGGATTATTTTTTATTGAACATAATTTTGTTCAGTCTGGGACATATAGTAAGTGCTCTGTAAATATTTTGAGTAAATATTGCTCACTCTAACCACAATGTTTTAAAACACTGGGACTTTTATCATCAAAACTAACCTGTTTTTGTAAAAAGTTAGAGATAATATAAATTAAGTCTTTGATAGTAAGTGATTCAGAAGTGTCTTCTAGCTGCACACTAGAAACTTTCCACATACTTTTAAAAGAGAGTCTCAGTGCTTTTTAAGCATGAGGAAGTAAAAGAATTAGGGATATAGTGTGTCAGCATAAATAGTTTAAAATCAATAAGTTGTTTTTTTCTTTTTACACAAAATAGAGTTTATTTTGGTCAGTAAACCTGTTGGCAAAATACAGAGTGGCAGGAGAGAAAAGTAAAGATCCCATCCTTCTGAAAGCCATTAACATGTGCAAAAACCATCCTAGTACTGACAGTTATATGCTATATTTGCATGTTGGTGTTTGAAATTTCTCAAGAGGTCAGTTTTTCTACTTGATTTAATGAGGGTTATTTCCATCTAAGTTCTTATTAGCTGATAATCAGTCTTTTACTCAAGTACAGAAGAAATACAGAATAGAAATTATCCGAGGTAGGCAGATCACTTGATTCCAGGAGTTCAAGACCAGCCTGGGCAACGTGGGGAAACTCCATCTTTACGAAAAATACGAAAATTAGCTGGGCATGGTGGTGCGAACCTGTAGTCCCAGCTACTCTGCAGGCTGAGGTGGGAGGATCACCTGAGCCTGGGAGGTTGAGGCTGTGGTGCGTGCAGGAGTGCATGTCACTGCACCCCAGCAGAAAGAGAGAGAATAGAAACTATTTTCTCCCCACACCGCCCCCCCCGCCCCTATTTTCTCCCCACACCGCCCCCCCGCCCCCGCCTTTTTTGTAGTGTGTTGGGGAAACAAGAATCTCTTCTTGGTTTGAATACTAGTATACCATTACTTTGTGATGTCTGCCATTTTTACTCTTTGGTGTTGTGTAACATATATGTATACCTCACATTTATATTTAATGAAGTAATTGTAGTGAGTGAGTTCCAGACATATAAGTGTTCTGTACTTAGTTCTGCCTAGTATACCTATCGGCAGTAATTGTGTCTTCAGAATACAGGTATAAATTAGCCAGGTGCTATGGTGTGTAGTGTGTGCCGGTAGTCCCAGCTACTTGGGAAGATTGCCTGAGTCCAGGAGTTTGAGGCTGCAGTGAGCTATGATTCTGCGATGGCACTCCAGCCTGGGCGACAGAGTGAGACCCTGATTCTTCCAAAAAAAAATTAAAAAACAACTTCAAGTGTAGTCTCTATCCTACATATTATCCATACCTTAAATGGCTTCAGTTTCTATCTTGTTGAACTTTTTGGAACAGTGATTCTCAGACTTGAGTGTGTATTAAGAATCACTTTGGTTTTTTTTTTTTGAGACCGAGTTTCGCTCTTGTTGCCCAGGCTAGAGTGCAGTGCCATGATCTTGGTTCACTGCAACCTCTGCCTCCCGGCTTCAAGTGATTCTCCTGCCTCAGCCTCCCACATAGCTGGGATTACAGGCATGCACCACCACGCCCGGCTAATTTTGTATTTTTAGTAGAGACAGAGTTTCTCCATGTTGGTCAGGCTGGTATCCAACTCCCGACCTCAGGTGATCCACCCGTCTCGGCCTCCCAAAGTGCTGGGATTACAGGTGTGAACCACCCCGCCTGGCCTAAGAATCACTTTGAAACTAAGTTTCCTGGATCCTGTCTCCAGAGATTTTGATTTTATAAGCCTGGGTTGGGTGAGGGACCATAGGTGATTCTGATACAGATGGTTCCTAGATCCTAATTTGAAAAACATATTAGTGAATCATTGGATTTTAAAATGCATGATACTGGAAAAAGCAGGAAAATTAGGGGAGGTTGAATCTATGGCATACTACCATCCAGTACCATGCTGACTTTGGTGGCATTCTTGCTTTAATATATCACTTCCCAGGCAACCATTGCTGACCCCTAAATGTTTTAAACTTTGGTTTTATGAAATGCCCAAGTAACACTCATTTGGGGGCTAGGGACTTGGAGGAGTGGAGGTGAGGGAATCCTGTTTACAGCTATCAGTCATTCACATGTTTTATGTGTTAGCTAAATAAATTGCTTTTATTTTTTCTAGTAGAGACCATCTGTGTGAAATGAACAGACACAGTGGGGAGAGAGAGAAGGCTGATGATACTTTTAGACCATGGTGTAACTTTGCAAGTAGAGGAGATAAGACTTAAAACAACTTTTGTGACTCAACTTGGGAAATTTAATCCTATTTCTTAAATTAAGAATTGGAAAGGGGAGCCCTCCAGGTATGTAATCTAAACTACCACCCAATATAGGTATCCGAATACAGATGACATTAACCTGAGACTCTGGCTTAGTGTTCCTAGTAATGTACTTTACACTTTTCCTTTTATTTCAGTGATTTCAGCATTCTATCTTCAGTAATTCAGACAAATGTAAAAGGAAAAACAATTTGGATTTTTTATTTTTATTTTTTTAGGGTCTGGCTCTTTCACCCAGGCTGGAGTGCAGTGGCATAATCCATAGCTCACTGTAACCTCAAATTCCTGGGCTCAAGCAGTCCTCTTGCCTCAGCCTCCTGAGTAGCTGGGACTACAGGCACGCATCTGGCTAATTTTTTTTTTTAAATTTAAAATCGCTGCCTTACTATGTTGCCAAGGCTGGTCTCAAACTCCTGGGCTCAAATGATCCTCTTGCCTTGGCCTCCCAAAGTGCTAGGAGTATAGGTGTGAGCCACTGCACCTAGCCTAAAAATAATTTGGATTTTATTTTATTTTATTATTTATTTTTTTAGAGATGGAGTCTTGCTCTGTTGTCCAGGCTGGAGTGCAGTGGTGCGATCTCAACTCACTGCAACCTCCGCTTCCCGAGTTCAAGTGATTCTCCTGCCTCAGCCTCCTGAGTAGCTGGGATTACAGGTGCATGCCACCACGCCCAGCTAATTTTTGTATTTTTAGTAGAGATGGGGTTTCACTGTGTTGGTCAGGCTGGTCTCGAACTCCTGACCTCATGATCCACTTGCCTTGGCCTCCCAAAGTGCTGGAATTACAGACATGAGCCACTGTGCTCGGCCTAATTTTTGTATTTTTAGTAGAGACAGCATTTTACAACGTTGGCCAGACTGGTCTCAAACTCCTGACCTCAAATGATCTGCCTGCCTCAGCCTCCTGCTGGGATAACAGGTATGAGCCACCATGCCCGGCCAGTAATTTGGATTTTAATTTCTAATTTGCAAATCAACTTTTAAAAATTTAACATTAAAAATACTGAAATATTCATGTAACACAAAATTCACCCTTATAAAGTATACACAACTCAGCAGCGTTTAGTATGTTCACAAAGTTGTACCACCATAGTGTAATTCCAAAATATTTTCATTACCTGAAAAAGAAAACTCCTGCCCATAAGCAGTCACCCCCGTTTTGTCCTCCCCCAGCTTCTGACAGGTTTTGATTTTATAAGCCCCACGTGGGTGAGGGTCCATCGGTGACTCTGATACAGATGGTTCCTAGATCCTAATTTGAAAAATATATTAGTGAATCATTGGATTTTAAAATGCATGATACTGGAAAAAGCAGGTATCACTGGCAACCACTAATCTACTTTTTGTCTGTATGGATTTGCCTATTTGGGATATTTCACATTAGTGGAATCCTATAATATGTGATTTGATCTTTTGTGCCAGGCATCTGTTGCTCAACATAATTCTTTTTTTTTTTCTTTTTTGAGACAGAGTTTTGCTCTGTTGCTCAGGCTGGAGTGCAATGGCACAATCTCAGCTCACTGCAACCCTTCACCTTCCGGGTTCAGGTGATTCTTCTGCCTCAGCCCGGATTACAGGCGCGTGCTACCGCACCCAGCTAATTTTTTTGTATTTTTAGTAGAGACGAGGTTTTGCCATGTTGGCCAGGCTGGTCTCGAACTCCTGACCTCAAGTGATCTGCCTGCCTCAGCTTCCCAAAGTGCTGGGATTATAGGCATGAGCCACTCAACATAATGTTTTTTAGGTTCATCCATTATGTAGCATGGCAGAATAATAAATATTACATTGTATAGATACAGCACAGTTTATTCATCAATTGATGAATTTTTGGGTTGTTTCTATTTTTTGGCTATTATGAATAAATAATGCTCTGCGAACATTCGTTTACAAGTTTTTGTGTGAATGTGTATTTTTTTTTTTTTTTTGAGATGGAGTCTCGCTCTGTCACACAGGCTGGAATGCAGTGGCGTGATCTTGGCTCACCGCAAGCTCCGCCTCCCGGGTTTACGCCGTTCTCCTGCCTCAGCCTCCCGAGTAGCTGGGACTGCAGGTGCCCGCTACCACGCCCAGCTAATTTTTTGTTTTTAGTAGAGACAGGGTTTCACCGTGTTAGCCAGGATGGTCTCGATCTCCTCACCTCGTGATCCACCCGCCTCGGCCTCCCAAAGTGCTGGGATTACAGGCGTGAGCCACCGCGCCCGGTCAGTGAATGTGTATTTTTGATTCTCTTGGGTATATATCTAAGCGTAGACTTGCTGATTCATATGATAATTCTTACGTTTAACTTTCTGAAAAACTACCAAAGTGTTTTCCATAGTGGCTGCACCTTTTTTTTTTTTTTTTTTTGAGACAGGGTCTCACTTTCTCGCCCAGACTGGAGTGCTGTGGCGCTATCTTGGCTTACCGCAACCTCTGCCTCCCAGGCTCAAGGCGTTCTCCTGCTTCAGCATCCTGAGTAGCTGGGATTACAGGTGCCCGCCACTACTGCCCGGCTACTTTTTGTATTTTTAGTAGAGGCGAGGGTTTCCTTATATTGGTCAGGCTGGTCTCGAACTCCTGACCTCAAATGATCCACCCACCTCGGCCTCCCAAAGTGCTGGGATTACAGGCGTGAGCTGCTGCGCCCAGCCGTGGCTGCACCATTTCACATCCCCTCCAGGGTTCAGGTTTCTGCACATCCTTATCAACACTTGTTGTTATCTTTTTTTTTTAAGCGCTAAATCATTCTGGAATTCTTTATTTGAAAAACAGCACTTTTTGACACCTATGCCATTTCCTTCTCTTATGGACAACTTTTTTCATAGTTTGATGTCCCTCTCTCTTTTTTTTCTCCATGAGCACTGCTGTCTACATTTTAGCATTTATTGACTATAATTTAATTCCTGCTTATGCATTGTTTTCTTGTGTTCTTAGATAAATTTATGTTTTTCTCTTTTTTTGTATAGATTATGAGCTGCTGCTTTTTTTTAACTTAACAAAATTGAGGTGAAATTTGCAGAACATAAAATTAGCCTTTTTTTTTTTTTTTTTTTTTTGAGATGGAGTTTTGCTCTTGTTGCCCAGGCTGGAGTGCAATGGCGCGATCTCGGCTCACAGCAACCTCCACCTCCCGGGTTCAAGTGATTCTCCTGCCTCAGCCTCTCAAGTAGCTGGGATTACAAGCATGTGCCATGCCTGGCTAATTTTGTATTTTTAGTAGAGACAGGGTTTCTCCATGTTGGTCAGGCTAGTCTCAAACTCATGACCTCAGGTGATCCGTCCACCTCGACCTCCCAAAGTGCTGGGATTACAGGTGTGAGCCACTGTGCCCAGCCAAAATTAGCCCTTTTATAAAATGTATAATTCAGTGTCATTTAGTGCATTCATAATGACATCTCTGTCTAGGTCCAAAACAATTTCATCACGAAAGAAAACTACTATTGAGCTGTCACTCCCTCTTCTTTCTTTTCCATTTAATGGCTGAGTAATATTCTGTTATATGTATAAACCACATTGGTTTATTCAATCACCTATTGATGAGCAATTGGGTTGTTTCTGCCTTTTAGCTGTTGTGAATAGTGCTGCTGTGAATATTGGTGTACAAGTATTTGAGTACCTGTTATCAGTTATTTTGGTATATACCTAGGAGTAAAATTACTGGGTTCTATGGTAATTTTGTTTAACTTTTTGAGCAACCACTTTTCCACAGCAGCTACACCATTTTAAAATTCCCACCAGCAATGTTTGAAGGGTGCAGTTTTTCTGTATCTTTGTCAACATTTGTTATTATCTGTTTTTGATTATAGTCATCCTAATGGGTGTGAAGTTTTGTTTTGCATTTCCCTAATGACTAATGGTGTTGAACATCTTTTCATGTGTTTGTTGGGGTTGTCTTATTGTTGAGGTTGTAAGAGTTCTTTTTTTTCTTTTTTTTTTTTTTTTTTTGAGATGGAGTCTCGCTCTGTTGCCCAGGTGGCCAGGCTGGTCTTGAACTCCTGACCTCAGGTGATCCGCCTGCCTTGGCCTCCCAAAGTGCTGGCATTATAGGCATGAGCCACCACACCCGGCCTTGTCTTTTTGCTTCCTTGTTAGTGTCCTTCAATACACAAAAGGTTTTACTTTTGGTTAAGGCTAATTTATCTTTTTTTTTCCTTTTATTGCTTTATGGTGTCATATCTAAGGCATTGACAAATCCAAAGCCGTGAAGATTTTTTTTTATTTTTTAATGTTTTTTCCCCTAATTATTTTATAGTTTTGGCTTGTATATTTAGGCTTTTGATCCATTTTGAGTACATCTTGGTATGGTATGAGGTAGGGGTTCATTTCATTTTTTTTGCACGTGCTTCTCCAGTTGACCTAGTACCATTTGTTGGAGAGACTGTTCTTTCCCCATTGAATAGTCTTGGCATTGTTGAAAATCAGTTGAGCAAAGATTTTGTTGTTGTTGTTGAGACAGGGTCTCACTCTGTCACCCAGGCTGGAGTGCAATGATGCAGTCTTGGGTCACTACAGCCTCCACCTCCTGAGTTCAAGCGATTCTTCTGCCTCATCCTCCCAAGTAGCTGAGACTACAGTCACCTGCCATCACGCCGGGCTATTTTTTTTGGTATTTTTTTTTAGTAGATACGGGGTTTTGCCATGTTGGCCAGGCTGGTCTTGAACTCCTGACCTCAGGTGATCCATCCACCTCGGCCTCCCAAAGTGCTGGGAATACAGGCATGAGCCACCATGCCTGGCCAGCCAAAGATTTATTATATGGGTTTATTTCTGGATTCTCAGTTCTATTCTGCTTTGATTACTGTAGCTTTGGAGTATATTTAAAATTTGAGAAGTGTAACTTTACCAGCATTGTTTTTCTTTTTCAAAATTGTTTTGGTTGTTTGGGGTCCCTTGTCATTCAATATGAATTTTATTTTATATTATTTTATTTTGAGAGGTAGTCTTACTCTGTCGCCCAGGCTGGAGTGCAGTGGCGTGATCTCGTTTCACTTGCAGCCTCTGCCTCCTGGGTTCAAGCGATCCAACCACCTCAGGCTGCAAGTAGCTGAGATTACAGGTGCCCACCACCATGCCTGGCTAATATTTGTTTTTTTAGTAGAGATGGGGTTTCACCACGTTGGCAAGATTGATCTCAAACTCCTAACCTCAGGTGATCTGCCCACCTTGGCCTCCCAAAATGCTGGGATTACAGGCGTGAGCCACTGTGTGGGCCCCGTATGAATTTTAGATTTGGCTTCTCCATTTCTGTAAACAAGACAGTTGGGATTTTGATGGGGATTGTGTTGCCTCTATAGGTTGCTTCAGGTTTTATTGGCATCTTAACCATTTTAAGTTAGAATTTTTGATGGGGAGGTTTTTTCTTTTAGCACTTTATCTTACTGCCTCTGGCTCCTATGGTTTCTTTTCTCTTTTCTTTCTTTGAAAACAAGTTTATTAAAGTAAAGGAATAAAAGAATGGCTACTCCATAGGCAGAGCTGCTGTGGCCCCTATGGTTTCTGATGAGAAGTCTGTTGTATCTGTTGTTAGTCTTACTGAGGATCCCTTGTTCATGACTCTTAGCTTCTCTCTTGCTGCTTTTAGCATTTGTCTTTGTCTTTCAACAGTTTGATTATAATTTATCTCAATGTGTGTATTTCTTTGTGTTTATCCTGCTTTGAGTTCATCGAGCTTCTTGGATGTGTAGATTCATATCACTTTTTCATGCTTTTATGGAAGAAGTGGGGATTTTCACAGACGATAATTCTGCCTTATCAGATATCTGAATCTCTCTCTTAGTGATCTAGAAAGCACTGGACCTATAGTTTTATAACCAAGAAAAAATTCCTTCCTAAGGACTGTTAGGTCTGCAGTATTTTAGAAAGTTTGGATTTTGGGTATTAAGTTCATATAAGAACACTCTTTTAAGCCAAGTGTGGTGGCCTGTGCCTGTAGTCCCTTTTACTTGGGAGACCTGGTGGCAAGGCTGCTTGAGCCCAGGAGGTTGAGGGCTGTAGTTCACTGTGATTGTGCTGTGAATAGCTGCTGCACTCCAGCCTAAGCAACATAGTGAGACCTGGTCTCTTAAGAACAAAAAACACCCCACATATTAACTACAAATTATGAAGTGGTTTAAACTTCATATTTATATTTTGTCATTAGGTAGAGGGTTTGAGCTATATGGTAGAAACATTGTAGTTTAGCTATTTTATTTTATTTTATTTTTGAGGCAGAGTTTCGCTCTCGTTGCCCAGGCTGGATTGCAATGGCGTGATCCTGGCTGACTGCAACTTCTGCCTCCTGAGTTCAAGTGATTCTACTGTCTCAGCTTCCCGAGTAGCTGGGATTACAGGCATGCGCCACCACGCCTGGCTAATTTTGTATTTTTAGTAGAGACAAGGTTTCTCCATGTTAGTCAGTCTGGTCTCAACCTCAGGTGATCTGCCCGCCTCACCCTCCCAAAGTGCTGGGATTACAGGCATGAGCCACTGGGCCCGGCGTAGTTTAGCTGTTTTAAATACCATAAGATTAACATTTCTAAGGACACTCTTAGAAATATTTTATTTAAATAAGTGAAGCAAATATATAAGGAAACCTTCTGTAAATCTAAAATTATTTCAAAATAAAAAGTAAAATATTGAGACATATATGTTTACTATATTAATATCAAAATAAAGAATTGAGAGGTCTGCCTTACACAATGAAAAATTAAAACTTAGAAGTTGAATAAGGGATCAGCTTTGGTTAATGTGGTATGAATGAACATTATTAACTCCTCAACCCCAACTGATGCTGATTATTAGGGAAGAGCTGAAAATACAACAAAACCTTTTCCATGAAAGGCCACATTTCAAAATATAAATTCAAAACACTAAAAATCCCAATACAGTGCAGTTTGGAAGAAACTAAAACTAAAAGATGACACTGAGACCAGGCACACAAATCTTTAGCTCGTAAATATAATACAGGTTATTGAATCAGCTTTGGGAGTTTGTGGAGAAAAAAATCTGAAGGCCTTGTAGTGCCAGTGGAGCCCGATTTTCAGAACAAGCTAGCTGTGATTTTTGCCACTTTAGAACTCTTGTAGCTACTCGACTTTCTGGGAAGAACCCAGACATGGGATGTTTAAATCACCAGGTGGGGGAAAAAGCACTGATAGAACCAATTGTTGAAGAAGCCAGTACCATTTATAGTAGTGAATCTAGATGAGAGGTAAAACATTGGGAGCCCACAGATGTGTTTCATTTAGTCTGTGTGTGTTGACACATACAGTATTAAAAATAAATGAATTAGTTGCCAATGTTTAAAAATTGGTAGATTTAGTTGAAAGGCCCAGATTTCTGGTTTTGCCTTAAAAAAATCAGAAAATCTGATAACCCTTAACCCATATTCCCAGTGGATTTGAATAATGCCTGCTTTAGGTGGGTCAGTTAATATCTAGTTAGCCACAGCTCCTATTGCTCCCAGTTGCCTTCCCTGGTTGCCAGTTATCATCATATATGTGCTGTCTTTCTTTATAGTGTAAAATAAGCAATGAAATATTTCCTACTTCTACATCTGCATCAAAAGTGGGAAAGTTGAAGACTACTGGGTTATAATTCATCCCTGTTACTTGTTACCTAATTATATCTGGGCAAGTTACATAATTTTTCTAAAACTCAGCTAACTCATATATAAAGTGAGAATTAAATAGTAACCATCTCATAGAGTTGTTAGACTTAAATGAGGTAAATCACTTGGAATGGTAGTAGCAATGTAGTATGTTCGATTAATGTTAGCCATTACTACTGATTAAAATGGCTGTACATTTTAAGAAAAATGAGCATTTTGGGGCAGATGTATAGAAATGTTCTTATTTTCATGTACAAAATGTCAGAATACAATCTGATGGCATTAAAAAAATCACTTTACTGAAGTATGGTTGACATTCTGATGTCATTTTGACCAAAGTCTGGATTGATTTTATTCATTGCATGTGTGCGCAGTTGAGTTTGTAACTTCTGTATTAGTTTGCTAGGGCTGCCATAACAAAATGTCACAGACTGGGTAGCTTAAAAAGCAGAAGTTTATTTTCTCACAGTTCTGGAGGCTAGAAGTCCAAGATCAAAGTGTCAGCAGGTTTGGTTTCTTTTGAGGCCTTTTTCCTTGGCTCGTAGATGGCTGCCTTCTTGCTGTGTCCGTGGTGTCTCTGTGTCTAAATTTCCTCTTCTTGTAAGAATGTCAGTCAGTTTGGATTATGGGCCCAGCACCCCAGTAGCCTTGTTTTTTTTAGATGGAGTCTCGCTCTGTCGCCAGGCTGGAGTGCAGAGGCGCGATCTCGGCTCACTGTAACCTCTGCCTCCCTGGTTCAAGCGATTCTCCTGCCTCAGCCTCCCAAGTAGCTGGGACTATAGGCACGTGCCACCACACCCAGCTAATTTTTGTATTTTTAGTAGAGACGGGGTTGGGTTTTCACCATGTTGGCCAGGATGGTCTCAATCTCTTGACCTCGTGATCCACCCGCCTTGGCCTCCTGAAGTGCTGGGATTACAGGTATGAGCCACCGTGCCCGGCTGGACTTGTTTTAACTTAATCGCCTCTTTAAAGGCCCTGTCTGCAAATATAGTCACATTCCGAGGTACTGGGGGTTAGGGCTTCAACATATAAATTTTGGGAAGACACAATTAAGTCTGTTACAACCTGTCCTAAAAAGGCAGATCAAAAACATATGTTACGGAATTTATTAGAGATAAGAGATTGAAGGTGAGTGCTAAGAGAGCCAAAAGCCTGATCATAGATGATTGATTAAGAGCACTTGGAGCAGATGAGGAGAGAAACGATAATCCTAACAGAT
The DNA here is from genome assembly GCF_000001405.40 of Homo sapiens. NCBI lineage: Eukaryota > Metazoa > Chordata > Mammalia > Primates > Hominidae > Homo > Homo sapiens. Next base: position 32,691,822 of record NC_000012.12, read on the forward strand.
AAAAGACAAAAGTTCCCCAGAGCTGAAGTACGACATCTTCAGGTCTCAATTGCTGCACATAAATATTGAGAGAAGAGACATACCCTGGTTAAATTTCTGAAATTAAAAGAATACTACAAGCTTCTAAATTGAAATAGGAGGGAGGAAAAAAAAAAGCTTTCTTAAACGGGAAAGAGAATCAGACTGGCATTAGATTCCAATCTGTCACAGTAAATGTTACTGCATGGAGAAATGTTTAATAGAGTTCTTAGGGAAATTGTGATTATAAAATTCTGTATTCATTCATACTATAACCATTTTCTCTTTTTTTCTTTTTGGGTGGTGATATATATTTTAATTATTTAAAATTTTGCTCATTCCATTCTATAGAATAAGATTTACATTTAAGCAAAATTAATTAAAATCTAAGCAGAGAGATCAAGTTAAGCACAGGCTCCAGGAAGTCCTGCTGGGATCTCAGGAATAGCGACAACATGTTAAAAGTTTTAGTTTGAATGTCTGGAATTTGTTTGTTTGTTTGTTTGTTTTGGTGCATTCTAGAGTCTCCAAGAGTCAGTCACCATGAGTACCCGTGAGGTAGATGATACTTATTTTAACAGCACCTAAACTGGGGTTTAGGAGCTATATTTTCCAAGAAGTGACTCAGTCTAATTCTGAAATGACAAAAGCAGTTCATATCATTTTATTCACACTTGAACTCCACTGGAGTCAGGGATGAAATGTCATCTTCTATTCCAAGAATGAAGTCTTCAGATAATGTCCAGGTGCTTCAGAACTAACTAGTCATCATAAGAACACAGAGTCCATAATTTCTCCAATGTATAGTTTTTTGTGGTTTCTAGAAGCATCAAATGAATCACAGTGCTACCAAACTCCACACAGAACTAGTCACAGTGTCCTTCCTATCCATCTTAACATTAGGCTCATTTTTACATTTCAGGTATTTGTACATTTTCATAGTATAATAGGGATATATCAGGTGGAAGTTCCACTCACTATCAGTCACAAAGTAGCTGTAATCTGTATATATGTTTTTACACAGTCATGTGAAATTTATTTATATACACACATATAATCCCAGTTTGTTCACTTATACTGCTATATAATGGTCCATTATAGGAATATATCCTGTTGAAATTTGTGTGTTCCCCAGTGTTTGCTATAGCTGTTTTTGTAAACAGTGGTACTGCGGATATTCATATAAATGTCTCATGTTTGAGAATTTCTCTAACGAATCAAGGAGTGGAATTGCCAGACTGTAGGGTATATTTATTGGATATTGCTATTGCTTCTCAGGATGGCTGTAATTTACATTCCCATCAACAGAGTGAAGTTTATTTATATCTGTACTTTCTATAGTCACATTTTAAATTTATGGTACCTCATTGTGGTTTCTATTGCATCCTCCTGATTACTAGTGAGTGTGAGCATCTTATCATGTTTCTTGGCTCTTTGAGGTTTTGTTTTGTGAGTTTTTGTTGATATCTCTGCACATTATTTTGTTAGGTATTTTTAAGAATTTGATTTGTGGGAGTTATTTATACATTTTGGTTACCAGTTACTTATGGATCACAAATGTTTTCCCTGAATTTTTTCTGTGAGGAAAAGAAGTTTTAATTTTATTGTGGTTGAATTATCTTTTCTTCTGTGGTTTTGTACATTTTGTATATTGTTTAAGAAGTCATTCTCCTTTATTTTGTTTTTTAACAGCTTTACTGAGATACACTCTATACCATAACATACCCATTTACAATGTGTAATTCAGTGTTTTTTTTAGCATATTTATAGAGTCGCACAACCATCACCTTAAACTTTTCTTTTTTCTTTTCTTTTTAAGACAGGGTCTCACTCTCTTGCCCAGGCTGGAGTGCAGTGGCATGACCATGGCTCACTGCAGCCTCAATCCCCTGGGCTCAAGTGATCCATCTGTCTAAGCCTCCCGAGCAGCTGGTACTACAGGCATGTGCAACCTTGCCTGGCTAATTTTTTTATTTTTTGTAAAGATGAGGTTTCACCATGTTGCCCAGGATGGTCTTGAACTCCTTGGCCTCAAGTGATCTGCCTACCTTGGCCTCCCACATTGCTGGGGTTACAGGCATGTGCCACCTCGCCTGGCCTTTCCATCACCTTTAAACTAATTTTAGAATATACCATCATTCTAGAAAGAAACCTGGTATCCATTAGTAGTCACTCCCCATTCTTCTTCACTCTGTCCCTAAACAGCCACATAATCTACTTTCTAGCTATAGATTTGCCTATTTTGGACATTTCTCTTTTTTTGAGATGGAGTCTCGCCCTGTTGCCCAGGCTGGAGTGCAGTGGCACAGTCTTGGCTCACTACAACCTCCGCCTCCTGGGTTCAAGCAGTTCTGCTGCCTCAGCCTATCCTGAGTAGCTGGGACTACAGGTGCGTGCCACCTTGCCCGTGTAATTTTTGTATTTTTAGTTGAGATGGGGTTTCACCATGTTGGCCAGGTTGGTCTCGAACTCCTGACCTTGTGATCCGCCTGCCTTGGCCTCCCAAAGTGCTGGGATTACAGGCGTGAGCCACCGCGCCCGGCCATATTTTGGACATTTCATATAAACAGGGTCAAATAATATGTGGTCTTTTGTGACTGACTAACTTTAACTTAGCAGAATAATGTTTTTAGATTCATCCATGTTGGAGCGTGCATCGGTACCTTATTCCTTTTTATGACTGAAGTATAAAATAACTTTTATAAGACTAAACATTAGTCTTGATACCTCTAGTGGATTAAATATCCATATTAGGGATCCTGGGAAGATGACAGCAGTGGTAGAATAGTTTCCTAAATATCTATATGACTTTCCCCTAAAACAGAACAAATAGGATAGGAAAACCAAAAACACATAGAAAATGTGTACAAGAAAATTAGTTGACTATGTTTCTCTACAAACGCTCAAATACCAGCAGATTGGGAACAAACCATTGTTATCCATACTGGAAGAAGCAGAAGGAAGCAGTGGAACTTCTGATGGAGCGGAGAATTGTAAATAACCCAAAGGCAATCACTGGAAAGCTTTTTAAAGGGCCGATTTTAGAATACCAGCTGAAATGGGAATTTGGGAAGGGTATTGCACACATCGATAATGGGTGAGTGAAAGGGATCAGTTGTAAAGTCTGAAGGGACTAGCGCTCCTTCATGAAACTTTAAAAACTAACCAAAGCTCCCTTCCAGGCCCACTCCTCACAAGAAGAAGGAACCGAGGATACAATTGAGTATCCTCTGAAGAATACAGACCAAGGAAAGAGAAGGTCCAGATAAAAGCAGGGGAGGTAAACAGGGCCAAGATACCTCAGAAAGCAAGAAACTATATTTTTGAATACTATATGAAAACAACAAGAGGGATTTTTAGAGTATAAAGGCAGAGTAGCTATTCAGAGCCAAGCCTCTTTCAAAAGTCAACAGTATGAAATGATTGTTGTCAAATGTCATGCAAATTTTTGAAGAAAAACAAGACCCCTTAGACAAGGAAATGAAAGCACACCAGAAAGACATACTTAGAAAACAAACAAAAACTGTGAGATATTAAGACAAAAGGCAAGACAGAAGACACTACAATGATAAGACATTTCAAAAATTAATTTGCATAAGAAAAATTAAAAAATTAAGTGATAGTGAAGTATTATAAATAAAAGAAAATGGCTGGACATGGTGGCTCACACCTGTAATCCCAGCACTTTAGGAGGCTGAGGCAGGAGGATTCGCTTGAGTCCAGGAATTTGAGACCAGCCTGGGCAACATGGGGAAACCCTGTCTCTACAAAAAATAGAAAAATTAGCTGGATGTGATGGTGTATGCGTGTAGTCCCAGCTACTCGGGAGGGTGAGGTGGGAGGATCACCTGAGCCTGGGAAGGTTGAGGCTGCAGTGGACTGTGCTGGTGCCACCGCACACCAGCCTGGGCAACAGAGTGAGACCTTGTCTTGGATAAATTAAGTGAATGAATGAATGAAATGAAACAAAATTTATTTTAGAAATGAAGACAAATTAGAAGGAACACAAGAGCAAGTAAACGTAACAGATAATACCTTATGAGGGAAAGAAGCTGAAAAGGAGAAAGACATTAAAAATAAAGAGATGTAAAAAGAATTTTGTAGAAATTGACACGTTGGAAACAAGTAAAGAAAATCCAACATATGTATATTAGGTGTCCCCAAAGAAGAAAACTATAGCAAGGGAACAGAATGGGTACTAAAAATTACAATACAAGACAATTTTAATGAAATAAAAGTAGATGGGGAACTAAATTTTGGAAGAGTACAGCACATACCTAAGAAAGTGACACGGTAGACCAATACTGAGACATAGTCTAGAAAAATTATTGGACTTTAAAGGAAAAATAAAAATCCTCAGACATACAGGCAGAAGTCACAAAGTCTCTTACCTTTATAAGTAAAGGAAAATCAGGGCCAGGTGTGGTAGCTCATACCTGTAGTCCCAACACTTTTGGGAGGCCAAGGTGGGGGTATCGCTTGAGCCCAGGAGTTTGAGACCAGCCTGGGCAATATAGTGAGACCCTGTCTACACACACACACAAACACACACACACACACACACACACACACACACAATATAGTGAGACCCTGTCTACACACGCATGCATGCACACGCTGGGTGTGGTGGTGTGAGCTTGTAGTCCAAGTTACTTGGAAGGCTGAGAGGAGAATCTATTGAGCCCAGGAATTGGAGGCTGCAGTGAGCTGTGATTGCACCACTGCACTCCAGCCTGGGCAACAGAGCTAGACAGTGTCTCTAAAAAAAAAAAAGAAAAATAATCAGATTACTGTCTTTTTTTTTTAAAGACAGGTTTGTTATTGTTGTCCAATGGCGTGCAATGGCGTGATCTCGGCTCACTGCAACCTCCGCCTCCCGGGTTCAAGTGATTATCCTACCTCAGCCTCCTGAGTAGCTGGGATTGCAGGCATCTGCCACCACGCCCGGCTAATTTTTGTATTTTTAGTAGAGATGGGGTTTCACCATGTTGGCCAGGCTGGTCTCAAACTCCCGACCTCAAGTGATCTGCCCACCTCGGCCTCCCAAAGTGCTGGGATTACAGGCGTGAGCCACCACAACCGGGCTGGTGTACACTTTCTTATCTTAAATATGGAATTTCATTGTCTCCTTTCTCCTATGACAGTAGGGAGGCCAAGGTGGGCGGATCACTTTGAGGTCAGGAGTTTGAGACCAGCCTGGCCAACACGGTGAAACCCCGTCTCTACTAAAAATACAAAAATTAGCCAGGTGTGGTGGCATGTACCTGTAATCCCAGCTACTTGGGAGGCTGAGGCAAGAGAGTCGCTTGAACCAGTGAGATGGAGGCTGCAGTGAGCCACGATTATGCCATTGCACTCCAGCCTAGGTGATAGAGCGAGACTCTCTAAAAAAATATAAAAAATAAAAGTCACAAACAATATGCTAGAATTTGAAGAATATTTTTCCCATTAGCCCTTCCTGGGGAATCTACTAGAGAATGGGTGTCAGAATCAGAATGACTAGAGACACATTAAAGACTGGTGATTTGTATTACACGTAACTAAGACCAAATGAGGGTTTGAAAGAAGATATGATCTGTAAAGGGGTGGGAAGGAGAATGGAGGGATTATATGCAAAACATTTAAAAAACTACTTTCAGTAATAATGTTCGTGGTGGTAGTATTGGTGTTATTATTTTGAGAATCTGTGTGTAACATGAAATAAAAAGCAAACAAGTAATTGTGTTATTCTAATTCTGTCACAAACTGTCATTGAGAACCACAGCTCTTGGTGTGGAAGAAAGAAGATAGAGATGACTGATTAGAGGAATGTATGTTTATGTTAGGGGTGGGTGAGGGTTGCAAGTGTTGGTAGCTGAAATAGAGAAAAAAGCTAATGTTTCAACTCAAGGAGCTTTTTTAAAGAACAGATAAACCCTCCTTTCACCAGGAGAAAAAAAAATCCCAGGAAGAAGAAATTAGCAATATTAAAAAAAATCAATTACAAAGCAAAATCAGCAAAATATTTGGCCAATAAAATCAATTTAATAGTCATTTGGAAAGTCTCATAAAAAAAGAACGTAAAATATTAGAAATAAGAAAAATGAACATTCTAAGAATATTATGAGTAGTTATGCCTATAAATTTGAAAATCAGAGAATTTGATTTTTTTTTTTTATGGACACATTTTGTCAGACATATAAAGAACTGGAAATGTCTATATGTTGTTAAAATTATTTCAGAGTACAGTATCAGAGTACAGGAATGAAATGATGGAAAGCACCCTGTTTTACTTAATGAGAGGGGCTACCCTGGATATCACAACTGCAGTTTCGCAGACATGTCTTATATTCCTCAATTTAACTCTCCAGATCCATTCAGCATTTGTGTTTTCCATCATAGGGGACCTTTCTGGACAACATGAATGAGCCCCTATGTCGTCTGTCTTCTGATTTGGATGTGGAAATGAGGAGCCCTGGCAGGGAATTGGAGGAAAGAGGAGAAAAAAAGTCCCGGTCTTGATTCCCCCATCTCATACATTCTGTATGTAGGAGCCTTGGGCTGGCTGGCTGTGTCACTCTTAGTCCTCCTGGTCCTTCCTTTTAGGCTTCGGGGTGATGAGAGCTGTTCTCTTGTTACTAGCCTGGGTTACTGCATTATCCCTTGTGATTTCCTATAAGCCTCACCCACAGCTTTGTAAATAGTCCTTATGTAAATAAACCCTCTTTAAATTAATCTAATTTGAGTGGGCCATCTGCTTCCTGCAGACCCTGTCTGACATAACTGATGAAATTAGGACTTTTGCATTTGTAGAAAATAAATTTTTAAAGTACAAGTTTTGACTAAGAAAAAAATAGAGTACAGAATATACTGTATAGAAAAATAAGTTTATTGCAAACTTAAGAAAAATGGCAAATTTAGAAATTTTTAAAATGTATAATAGAGGTTTATATAGTACTTGATTATTTATCGCATTAGCTGTTAGTATTGATATTTTTGATTATTTAGTAATTGGATATTGGTATTGTATGTATGTTAAATTTCCTGAATGTAAGTGGTGTGGTGGCTGGCTCCTGGAATCCTAGCTACTCGGGAGGCAGAGGTGGCCTGAGGGTCTCTTGAGGCCAGAAGTTAGAGGCTGCAGTGAGCTATGATCACGCCATTGCACTCCAGCCTGAATGGTAGAATGAGACCCCATCTCTTAAAAAAAAAAAAAATCCTGAATGTGATCATTGTATTGTGGTTCTATAGAAGAACGGCCTTGTTCTTAGGAGATGCATGCCACAATGTTTAGAGTGGAGTATCATGATTTCTGTAACTAACTCTCAAATGGGACAGCAAAAGGAAAAAAGTCTTTGTGTGTACATGTAAGGAGAGAGAGACATAAAGTAAATGTGTCAAAATGTTAATAAGTGGTGAATTATGTTAAGATATATGAGTATTCACTGTTACCGTTCTTGCAACTTTTTTTGTGGCATTGAAAATTTCAAAATAAAAAGTTGGAAAATATTTAAAACAACAAAAATTGAAATACTTATTATGGATAAAGAACTTTATTATAAACTAATAAGAAATATATAAAAGGCTAGCATTTGAATAAGCAGATCACTAAAGGAGAAATACAGAAAGCCATTAAAGAAAAGGATGCTTGACCTTAATAATAAAGGAATGTAAATTTAAATGAGCTGTCGGTATCCATCTATCAAAGTAGCAAAGATTCAAAAAACAATGCTTTGGGAGGCTGAGGCGGGCGGATCACTTGAGGTCAGGAGTTTGAAACCAGCCTGGCGCACATGGTGAAACCCTGTCTCTACTAAAAATACAAAACCGCTGGGCGTGGTGTCACACGCCTGTAATCTCAGCTACTTGGGAGGCTGAGGCAGGAGAACTGCTTGAACCTGGGAGGTAGAGGTTGCAGAGAGCCAAGATGGTGCCACTGCACTCCAGCAGCCTGGGCGACAGAGCAAGACTCCATCTCAAAAAAAAAAAAAAAAAAAAAAAGCAATGATGTTTAATACTGATGGAGCTGTAGCAAATTGAACAAACTGGTAACTCTTGGAAGTATAGCTTGATTCCCTCTTCTTTGCAGTCTGGCAGTATCTATGAATGCTTAAAATCTGTATGCTCATTAATAACGGCAATTTAACTTAAATGAACTAAATCTAGTGAGGTAATAAGATAAGTGAGTAAGGTTATATGTATAAGCACATTCATTGCAGCATTGTTAAAAACAGCAAAAACCAAAAACCATCTAAATGCTTATCAGTTCGGGTTTGGTTTTATACATAGTAGAATACTGTTTTAGCTATTTCTTTTTTTTGAGAAGGAGTCTTGCTCTATGCCCAGGCTGGAGTGTAGTGGTGTGACCTCGGCTTACTGCAACCTCCACCTCCCGGGTTCAAGCAATTCTCCTGCCTCAGCCTCCTGAGTAGCTGGGATTACAGGCGCGTGCCACCACACCCAGCTAATTTTTGTATTTTTAGTAGAGACAGGGTTTTGCCATGTTGGCCAGGCTGGTCTCGAACTCCTGACCTCAGATGATCTGCCCGCCTCAGCCTCCCAAAGTGCTGGGATTAACACAGAAGTAGTTAATGTATTGATATGGAACAATATCCCTGATTATTACATTAAAAATAAAAGCAGGTTAGGCCAGGAGCAGTGGTTCATGCCTGTAATCCCAGCACTTGGGAGACTGAGGTGGGAGGATTGCTTGAGCCCAGGAGTTTGAGACAAGCCTAGGCAACATGGCAAAGCCCCACCTTTACAAAATACAAAAATTAGCCAGGTATAGTAGCGCGTGCCTGTAGTCTCAGCTACTGGGAAGGCTGATGTGGGAGGATCACCGGATCCTGGGGAGGTCAAGGCTGCAATAAGCTGTGATCACACCACTGCACTCTAGCCTGGGTAATAGAGTGACACACTGTAATAATAATAATAAAAATAGAAGGTTAGAGAAAAAGATATGCATTACTGTCCCATTTACAGTAAAACAACTACATATTATAGGCATGATTTTATATATACCAATATTGTGTAGGTTTTGAAACCTGGTTGGTGGAGTATCAAAACAGGTGGGATAATTATGGGAAAACAGGGCTGTTATTTTCTGGTTTTGGCTTAAAAACAAATAGATCATGTAATAGGAAATAAAATTATCTTTCATTTAAAAAGTCTGTGGCCGGGCATGGTGGCTTACACCTGTAATCCCAGCACTGGGAGGCTGAGGCAGGTGGATCACCTGAGGTCGGGAGTTCGAGACCAGCCTAATCAACATGGAGAAACCCCGTCTCTACTAAAAATACAAAAAATTAGCCAGGCGTGGTGGCACACGCCTGTAATCCCAGCTACTTGGGAGGTTGAGGCAGGAGAATCGCTTGAACCCGGGAGGCGGAGGTTGCAGTGAGCCGAGATCGTGCCATTGCACTCCAGCCTAGCCAACAAGAGCGAAACTCCGTCTCAAAAAAAAAAAAAAATAGTCTCTGCACTAATTTTTCCTTTAAAATAATTCTGTATGCTGGTTTGTTAATATAGTTTATTGAATTAACAAAAAATGTGTTAAGAAACTCATTTTGCTCTTGTATATATTCTGTTTTCAGAGCAGCGGAAAGAGCTCAGTGCTAGAAAGCCTGGTGGGGAGGGACCTGCTTCCCAGAGGTACTGGAATTGTCACCCGGAGACCTCTCATTCTGCAACTGGTCCATGTTTCACAAGAAGATAAACGGAAAACAACAGGAGAAGAAAATGGTAAATTTCAGATTTGAGATAATTATTTTACAGCTCTTCATTTTTGATCTATTCTTAAAAAGATATGAATTGATTAGATAATTAGAAATTAGTGACTGTAGCATAGTTAGAAGTCCTGTGAGAAGTAGTATGCATCTTTCTTAATGTAAAAAAAAGAGTAGTTTTTGTTTTGTTTTGTTTTTGAGACGGAGGTCTTACTCTGTCGCCCAGGCTGGAGTGCAGTGGTATGATCTTGGCTCACTGCAACCTCCACCTACTGGGTTCAAGCAATTCTCCTGCCTCAGCCTGCCAAGTAGCTGGGATTACAGGCGCCCCCCACCATGCCCAGCTAATTTTTGTATTTTTAGAAGAGACAGGGTTTCACTTTGTTGGCCAGGCTGGTCTCGAACTCCTGACCTCAAGCCATCCGCCCGCCTTGGCCTCCCAAAGTGCTGATCACAAGGCGGGTGGATCACGAGGTCAGAAGTTCGAGACCAGCCTGGCCAATATGGTGAAACCCCGTCTCTGCTAAAAATACAAAAATTAGCCAGATTTGGTGGCACTTGCCTGTAGTCCCAGCTACTCAGGAGGCTGAGGCAGAAGAATCACTTGAACCCAGGAGGCAGAGGTTGCAGTGAGCTGAGATCACGCCACTGCACTCCAGCCTAGGCGACAGAGTGAGACTCCGTCTCAAAAAAAAAAAAAAAAAAAAAGAAGAAAATAGGCATTGTCCTTTATAACCGTTCTTTTTTGATTAAATTGAAAATATATTAGGGAATGCTGTGTCTATCAGCAGATTTTAAGTTGCTTACCAAATATGTATCCTATGTTAATTATACTTATATTAATGAGGTTTGAAATGTTGAATGAGAGTAACGTATTTAATCTTCCTATTTAGTTCAGTATTTGGCTCAGACTTTCTTATTTATAGAACTCTGTAACATAGCTCTAATTATTAAATTACTTTTGCAGCAGAGTACCATATCTGTTTCTTATCTGCAGAGATCTGTTTTCAATGCAGTTTTATTCTACTTCTTATTCTGATTTAAGATGGGATGATAGTTTTGACAAAATTGAACTTATTTTAATTTCTGTGTCTGATTTTTTCATTTACTGTAGGAGCTGTTGGTGGTGATGACTTGAATTTTTTTTTTAATGGGGAAAAAAAACCTCATGAGCATCTGCTATGACTCTAGAATGTTAGTCACTGAAGCAAATTAGTGTAGTTGTAGATGTTGCAAGTAATATTTTTAGATAGACTGCCAGTGGCTATGTGGGAGCCTTTTAATTACATTAGGTAGCTTCTGGGTATGTTATTCATCACTTTGCATTTCTCTAATACTTATTGAAGTTCTGAACCTTGAATTTAATCATGTTGGATTAATCTGGGGTTCACCTTCAAATATATAGAATAACACTTATAAAATTTCATCCCCACTGATTTCATCAAATTTACCAAACATCTGAAACTAAGACCTTAAGACACTATATGATATTAGGTCTTTCTCTCTCTCTCTTTTTTTTTTTTTTAACTTTCCATTTTCTTCTGTCACCTTGAGAGGGCCCATGATATCCTGTCTCTCAGAAACTATTTGAATTGTGGGCAGTGTTTCCTTAGATAAAATTGTGCTTGTTAGAAAAGGGTGTACATTTCAGCTATCGTAGTGTCAGCTCTTTGGTATCTCTTTGTTTTTATGTCCACTATGTTTTGTTGATGTCTCCTCTTAGTGGTTGGTCAGTAAATCTGCCTACCTACTGTTTTTTTCCAAGCTTAGTGCTGATTTTGTATATATATTTGCTTAAAATGACAACTCAACTACCCCAAACACAATATAGATTATATAAATTTGAGTACTAGATTTCACGTGTTTTATTCTAGCATAGACAGTTCGTTAGTTTTTCATCAAAGCTTCTTTATCCTTAGAATAAACAATTCTAGCATATCATAAATCATTCTAACCCAGAGAAAATTAGAAACCATGAAGCAGATAAACAATATAGTTAGCTAGAAGAGTGTGAACTACCTGACAGCCTGATAATAAGAGAGGAGAAAGGGAAGAAACATAAACTTTCAAAAAAAAAAAAAAAAAAGAAATCAGTTACTAACATTTTGTGTAGGGATTTTATTTAGCCAGTGAAGGCTTAGTTACATGACAAAGACCTAGGTTACCAATAGTAGATTCAGAGTAGTACATTCTAAGATGACATGGAGAAGTATAATCCATCTTAGATGTAGCTTCATCAAAACTGGCTAAAGTAAAATATTTTAGTGTTTAATATGTATAATTCAATCATCAGGACATTTATTTAGCATAGGATTCTTCATTCTGTCAACTGTGGGATAACTGAGGTGTCAGTATGTAGATTTATGGTCATCTCAGCTTGCCCCCTACTTCTGCCCATGTAAAAGAATTTTCTGTTAAATTTTTATTAAAAACAATACTAAACTATGTTTTAGAGTAGAGTGGTGGTTCAGTTTGAACAGAACTCCACGGTTATCTTTCATATATTTGTAAGAAATAAATCAAGCTTTCCTCAGCTTTCCTTTGAGACAAAATCCAAAAGTAGCATGCTGATTAAAGGCCAAAATTGTGCTATATATGATACTTCTGAACAGTGTCAGTAGAAATTTGAAAAAAAATGTGAAAAAAAAATTTATTTTGGGGAGAAAAGTTGTTGAACTAAAGCAAAAGTTTTTTGTTTTCTTTTTAAAAAATGCAAACATAGGCCGGGCGCGGTGGCTCACGCCTGTAATCCTAGCACTTTGGGAGGCCGAGGCGGGTGGATCACCTGAGGTCAGGAGTTCGAGACCAGCCTGGCCAACGTGGTGAAACCCCATCTCTACTAAAAATACAAAAATAAGCTAGGTGTGGTGGCGGGTGCCTGTAATCCCAGCTAATCGGGAGGCTGAGGCAGGAGAATCGCTTGAACCCGGGAGGCGGAGGTTGTAGTGAGCCGAGATCGAGCCATTGCACTCCAGCCTGGGCAACAGAGCAAGACTCCGTCTTAAAAAAAAAAAAAAAATGCAAACATACATGTTTCGTAGAATAATGCTTAAAATCTTGGTATAATTTGAAATTTTACCCCCATTTCATTAAGTAACCTATTTGTAAAAGCAATCAGTTGCCCCCCAAAAAGCAGTAAAATTACACATTAGAATTAAAGGAAAAAGATAGGATTAATTTTTCTGCATAGGGTGCTGTGATACACGTAGTAGTCTCCCTTTGGACTGAGTCCACGAAGGTCAAGAGTTAACTTTCTGCAGTGTTCTATTAAATCCAATGTATGTTTCAAATAAAATACCCTTATATAGTCCAGTCTTAGCTAATGGGGCAAATACTTGCATATACTTACCAACTTTTAAGGTTTTGAAAGATGTATTTAGTATATTTTGTAGATTTTTAAAAATCAGGCAATTTATCTTTTCCTGTAGTAGGTTATCAGATATCTCAGGCAAAGTTTTTTTTTTTTTTTTTTTTTTTAAGGCAGAGTCTTGCTCTGTTGCCCAGGCTGGTGTGCAGTGGCACAATGATCTCAGCTCACTGAAACCTCCTGGGTTCAAGCAATTCTCCTGCCTCAGCCTCCTGAGTAGCTGGGATTACAGGCGTGTGCCACTACGCCCAGCTAATTTTTGTATTTTTAGTAGAGACGGGGTTTTGCCATGTTGGCCAGGCTGGTCTTGAACTCCTGACCTCAGGTGATCCGTCTGCCTCGGCTTCTCAAAGTGCTGAGATTAGAAGTGTGAGCCCCACACTTGGCCCAAATTTTTGAATAGTGAATTAATTGTGCTTCATTTGTGTCAGAATTAGAAATAATGGTCACATAACTTTTTTATTAATTTTAAAAATTTAATTTTTATTTTTTAGACTAGTCAAGTGCAGTAGTAAGGCGGGAAAGAGTAGAACAAGGAGTTCCATCTGTAACTGACTGAACAGTCAATTGAGATAACTACCTTCAGACAAGCCAGATATAACTAATTATATTGGAAAGGTTGTTTCCTAAAAATGTTAAAAATAAGTTATGGCAAGCAATATGCTTTGTTTCTATGACTTAAAAATATTATATACATCCCTCTAATTCTAGTTGTATTTTGCACTGCGCAGTGGGATTCTTAATTTTTCTTCTTAGCCACTAACTTTACTTTCGTCAGTAAATTTTGAATAATTGAATGCTATGTGCATTTGAAATGTGATCAGGTTTCTGCACATTTGAATTTTTAATAAGGTTTAAAATTTTAGGGATAAGCACTAAACTTATTCTGTGCTGTTTCTCTTTAACTACAGACCCTGCTACATGGAAAAACTCAAGACACCTTTCTAAAGGTTTCCTTTATCCATTTGCTTTTGACCCTTTTTTTCTCTTATGCCTGCATGTGTGCTTATGTACTATTACAGGCTGTGTGTATTTTTTTTTCTTCCATTTTTATTTGCCCATCCACATTGATTGCAGGTTTTAGTGGTTCTTGTTATTTTTTTTGGCATTGCATCAAAATGCAAGCTTTTTTGGTGGTGAATGTAATTTATTTTATTTTTATTTTTGAAGACATGCTTGTGAAGCCAAGCCTTTTTAAATATAATAAGATAAATTAGAAACAGCTCTTTGGTATGTAGTACTTGCATTTTGTGAGTTCTGTTCACCTAGATTACTCCAGTCCTCCAATGAGACTTCTTGGAAGAAGGTACTAAGCTACAAGTAGGTGAGCATTTTATCTGCAAAAAGGATCCGGTTTTATTTACCTTTATTCCACCAAAGGACCGACTCACTCTTCTGTTTGTCTGAATATCTTATGATCATTTTTATTTAGACCTCAGGAGGCTGATATGCATTATTCAATACACTTATTAAGATATTTTAACCTTCTCTAAATTTGACAAAAGCAAAACAGCTGTGTTTGGAGGAGATAAAGTTAGATTATCTTTCCACAATTAAACAGTTCTAGTTTTTCTGGGAAAAACAGACTATATCTTGCTCTCCAAGTTTTAGACTACTTCACACAGTGCAACAGTGAATCTATTTTCCTTCTTTCAGCAAGTACAAGAGGAACAGACCTATGACTGGAAACTAATGGAGAGTGGCAACTCCTTACGCTGCATATACCAGGGTTCTTGTTTTTCCTTTTCTTCCATTTTATTTCTTTCCTGCCTCCAGTTCCAAGGGAAAACAGTCTTGACCCTGGGGGAAAATCACCTTGAAAGTGTGTGTAAATTACAAAGCAGCTAGCTCTATAATAATGAGAGAGCTCTTTAAAGGAACAGCAAGTTGTGGCTCTACAGGTAACCAACAGGAAACCAAATTTTTAAAAAGAACTGAAGAATTAGCTGTTTCATTGACACATTGTAAAATTTTTCCTTGAGTCATATGTGTACATCTGTTACATATGTTTTTTGCACTACTCAGTGGGATTCTTAATTTTTCTTCTTAGCTACTAACTTTATTTTCGTCAGAAAACTGCTTTTATATGTAAGATTTTCAAAACTAAAGAATATTCCTTTTACTGTAATATAACTACACAAAAAAATATGAAGAGAAATAAACAATTTTATTTGCAAAATCTAGATTTCAACTAGTGGGAAGACCTGTGAGCAGCTCTGCCTGAAGTTGGTCATGTTTTTGAAATACACCATACAATTTTTAAAATATAATTTAGCAGAAAATACAATTTTAGAAAAATATAATTTAGCAGACCTTAAAATACTTGTTAACTTGTACTTAATGGCAAAATTAAATACAAGTTAAGAAGTGTTTTATTATGTTGCCTTTTTGAATTCCTAAAGATAAAAAGTAGTTTCCATAGTTTCCAATAAATGAGTTTTTCTTTTTTCCAGGGGTGGAAGCAGAAGAATGGGGTAAATTTCTTCACACCAAAAATAAGGTAATCACACATGCATATAATGAAGAAATAATGTTGAAAAAAATATATTGTATGAATACTTGATAATTTAGTTTCTAATCATTGGCAATTACGTTATTTTAAAGTAACTATAACTATTCCTTATAAAATAAATCTTAGTAACATTTCTAACCACAATTGTTTATTGGAAAACACTTGAAATTGAGGCCGATTTTCTCTGTGATTTGGTGATTCTTAATTGTTGTGGGATCAGGAAGCTTTGAAAAGTTCGTAATGGCCAGGCATAGTGGCTAATGCAAGTAATCCCAGTACTTAGGGAGGCTAAAGTGGGTGGGTCACTTGAGCCCAGGAGTTCGAGTCCAGCCTAGGCAATATAGGGGGACCCTGTCTCTATAAAAACTAAAAAAAATTAGCCCCGCGTGGTGGCATGCACCTGTAGTCCTAGCTACTTGGAAGGCTGAGTCGGGAGGATGGCTTGAGGATGTGAGGTTGAGGCTGCAGTGAGCCGTGATTGTGCCACTGTACTCCAGTCTGGGTGACAGAGTCAGACCCTCTCTCAAAGAAAAAAAAAAAGCCAAACAGAAAAAAACTCATAAAAAAACTATAAATCCTTAGCTCAGAAAATATGTATACATTAGAATTTTATTTATTTTCTGAAGCAAATACATAGACATCCTTGAAGTATATGGACTCCCCCTCCAGCTTAAGAACTTTTGATCTTATTTTGAATATTATGCTTTTTTATTTCAAAAATTTTTAGCTTTACACGGATTTTGATGAAATTCGACAAGAAATTGAAAATGAAACAGAAAGAATTTCAGGAAATAATAAGGTAGGCATCTTTTTAGAGCTAGAAGGCATAAGCATCAGTAAATATATAATTGAGGTATTCTGTACATAATATGTGAAGGGCATTGTAAATTCCTACTCTTGATCTTAGCCAAAAGGCCGAGAAGCGATGGACATTGTAAATTCATAATGGACTTTGAAACAAATGGAGTATTTTCACAGATATATAGAACTTTGCTTAAAATCCCTTTTCTTTCTTAAAGCTTTCATATAAATCAAATATTTTATTTAGATGTTTATTGTTGTTCCTGTCATGTACATGCCACATTATTATATAATTCTACTTAGTATTGCTACAATAAGTTATCTTTTTCTGATGGATTGATTGTACTCTAACTCAGGAAGCATTGTTTCACTTATATATATATCTTTTGAGGAGTTCTTTTCTTACCTGTGTATGGCTAGATTTGCTTATGAAAGCAAAAAGAGACAAATTGGGAATTTTTTTTTCTTTTTTTTAGTGAAAATGAAAATAATACATTAGCAACTGGTTTTCTTATTTTCTGAGATTGTGAGAATGTGAAGTAAGTTATGTATCTAAGATACTGTTAATCTTGACACTAGGTACTATCACTGCCTTGCCTGAATCCTGCTGTCTTCTGTCTTCTTTATTCCTATTATTTTTCTCTTTATATTTCAAGAGATATATATTATCTCTTGAGATTTTTATTTCCCTTCCTTTTTGTTCTTAGCTCCATTCTTATATTATCCAGAGGCACATTTAATCCCACAAGTGGGCCCTAGCCTAGTACTAATATTCAACAAATATTGAATCCTTGTATCTGCCAGTTACTATGCTAAAAGATTATTTCCTGACAGAAAGGCATTTTTAGAGTCATGTTAACCTTTATGACTGTTCAGGATATTTGTTGCTGTTACAGTGACTGACTGAGCTTTGTTCATTGTTGAACTCTAGGCTGGTTACCTTTGAGCTACTGCTACTGTTGCCATACTTTCCTGAATTTCTAGTAACCATGTTGTATAGAACGGGTTGAAAAAGTGGCCAGAAACTAGATTAGCTTATCGTCATTCCTCTAATTATATCAGGGATATTTTTGGCTTTTGGAATGTTATTGATCATAACATCAGTCTGAATTCTCTCTCCTACAGTCCCCATTTACTTACTGAACTCAGCAATTGGTGGTAATTTTACACAGTACCAGAATTTAGAGTGTTGTGATGATTCAGAAATGTTTTTAGTTACACTAAACTGAATGTCATTGAAGATTGAGTCTATACCTACAAGATGTTTAATTTATGTTGAGGATATAATTTACTTACCTAGCAGCTTTTCATCCACAGTGTCTAAAAGATGAAAAGTCCCCCAACCCCAAATCTATGAAACATCTCTTCTTTCCCAAATCACGTATGTAATGAAGTAAATGATATTTTGATCTTATATAATTTTTATGTCAAAATATGTAAATGACTGCATATGCCTAACATATAGCCCTGAAGGATTTAAAATGTCTGTGAGTTTGGAGTTGCAAAGGTACTGGGCAGAGCTTTGTATTGGACTGATAGGGGAATGCCATGGCAATAAAGATCCTGAGAAATATACAACCTAAGTAGGTATGCCAGATAGTGACATTTGTTGGCTTTGGAACACTGGAGTATTTATAATGGAAAAATAGCACAGAGTAATCTAAAATAGCAAATATAATTGTATAGGGAATGTGGAGTAAAGGATATTAAAAACTTGCTGGGAAATTAGAATTTTCAGTGGGCTAATGAGGGAAAACATAAGGTAGTTAAACAGGTGATGAGAGGATATATTAAAGGCTAAAGAAGGGCATGTACAAAGACAGGGTATAAACATCTCATAAGTGTCTTTTTACATGTAGTTGATTCAATCCTAATACTTGTAGAGGGCCAGTGGTGAAGAGGAGGGAGCCTACGCAGTATTCTTAGTCTGCAGGAGAGAAAATACACGTTACCTCTCACTATCCAAATTCTTACTAGAGATTAAAGAGTTAGATAAACTTCTTGAGAAATCTCTTACTGTACACATTCTTGCCACTTGATATTCAAAGATCAGGAACCAGGCTGATTTGGACAACTTGTTATCTACGCCTTACTCTCTGAACTCGGAACCTCATAAATTTGGATAGTGAGGAATACATTATTCTTTTATTCAGCACTAAATCTATTAAACATATTTAAGGAATGGCATATGCCAGCCTGGGCAACATTGTAATACCCGGTCTCTACAAAATATAAACAAGAAATTATCTGGACATGGTGGTGCACACCTTGTAGTCCCAGCTACTCAGGAGGCTAAGGCAAGAGATTGCTTGAGCCCAGGATTTTGAGGCTGCAGTGAGCCATGATTGCACCACTGCACTCCAGCCTGTGTGACAGAGTGAGACCTTGTCTCAAAAAAAAAAAAAAAAGAAAGCAAAGGAAAAATTTATGTTTATAATCAAGAGAAAAGAATGTAAAATAATACATGGTATATAATACATGTACATATAACATGATACAGGGATAGAAGTAGGATTATAACCTGTTAATATGGCTGGCTACCTGACTTCCCATGTGTTTCATCAGGTTTTGATTGTTAAAAAAAAGTTTTAGGAATCATGATTTAATTCATTTTTAAAAGCATTAATGTCTATGTACTTGAAATGAAGTTTATTACTTCATAGTTCATTGAAATTTTAATATATTTTAAAATTTATTTTTAGGGAGTAAGCCCTGAACCAATTCATCTTAAGATTTTTTCACCCAACGTTGTCAATTTGACACTTGTGGATTTGCCAGGAATGACCAAGGTAAGGAAGGAATAGTTGTAGATTTGGTCAGGTTGTTTTCACTTCGTTGACATCCCATATGAGAATAATCAGCTTCTTTTTGCAATCACTTTGATCTGTTAGCAGCATTTGATAACGTTGAGCCCTCCTTTCTCCTTGAAACACTTTCTTTACTTGGCTTCCAGGATACCACACTCTACAGGTTTATCTCCAGTCTCACTGGCCACTCCTTTTCAGTCTCTTTTGCTGTTTCTTCTCATCTCCCCAATGTCTAAACAGTAAGTGCCCCAGAGCTCAGTTTATGGAACTCTCGTTTTCTCTAGGTACACTTTCCCTTTGATGATTTCATCAGATTTTATGGCTTTAACTACGTAAGGCTCTGTATATTGACGGCATTCAAATATCTCCAGACTTGTATATCTAGTTGCTATTCGACATATACACTTAAATGTCTAATAGACATTTCAAACTCTAATACCGAATTCCTGACCTGTTCCTCAACTAGATTTGGTATTTCTATAGTCTTCCCCCATCGCAATAAATGGCAACTCATGCCATTTATTGGCAACTCATAAAAAAGCTGAGTTGATTTTTAATTGTTAGTTCCTTGGCCATCTCTGTTTGGTGCAGTGGCTTATCCTGTAATCCCAGCACTTTGGGAGATCAAGGTGGGAGGAATTCTTTGAGACCAGGAGTTTGAGACCAGCCTGGGCAACATAGGGAGACCACGTCTCTACAAAAAATACAAAAATTAGTCGGGCATGGTGGTGCACACATGTAGTCCCAGCTGAGGCAAGAGGATTGCTTGAGCCTAGGAATTTGAGGCTACGGTGAGCTATGATTGCATCACTGCACTCCAACCTGGCCAACAGAGTGAGACCCTGTCTCTAAATAAATAAATAAATGGCAACTCCATTCTACCAATTGCTTAGCCAGAGTTTGTAGTCATCCTTGACACTAATTTATCCCACATTCCACTTCCTGCCAGCAAATCCTCTTGGCTCTTCCTACCTTTACAGTATATCCAGAACTCAATCGTGTTTTATAAATTCATATTTACTGTCCTGATCTAGCCACTATCATGCTACCTGGATTACTGCACAATAATCAATAATAGGTCGTCCTTGTGATCTCATCTTAGTAGACAGTGATACGATTAAAGTGAAAATTCGATTGTGTCATTTCTTGGCTCAAAACTTCTCCAGTTCCTTGTCATTCCTTGACTTAAAACCTCTCCCATTTCACTAAAAGCCCAAGTTATTACAGAGGTCTAAAATATCTACTTGTTACGTCCCTATTCTTCTCCTAACTCCTGTTGCTTCAGCCTCCTGCCCTTATTGTTCACTCTCTTTGGAATTTCTTCCCCCAGATGTCTGTATGTTATTGCTCCCTTATTGGCTTAATTTCTGCTCATTCTCTTAAGTGTCAGTTGTCTCAGTGAAGTTTCCCTGATTACTCTATTTAAAAACATAATCCAATTTAAAACATTAAAATCATAATCCTAATGGCCAGGTGCAGAGTGGCTTATGCTTGTAGTTCTAGCACTTTGGGAGGCTGAGGCAGGAGGATCATTTGAGCCCAGGAGTTTGAAGATACAGTGAGCTATGATCGCACCACTGCACTCCAGCCTATGTGATAGAGTGAGACCCTGTCTCAAAAAAAAAAAAAAAAAAAAAAAAAAAAAGAAAAAAATCATCTCTAATCATTCCCTAGCCTGCTGTTCTGCCTTATTTTCCCACAGCCCTTACCACCATCTGTATACTATATATATGTTTTTGTTTATTATATGCGTGTTATTACTAAAACATAAGTTCTACGAAGGCAGAAAGTTTGGTCTTTTTAAAATTCACTACTGTAACATAATCTGACATGACCTGAAATCACGTTCAGAAAAGTGCCTAAAATAGAGTAGGCTGCCAGTAAACACTTGGTAATTGAATGAATGAGTGAATGAATTTGTATCTAGCCAATCAACATTGACCAGTTCTTAACATGGGACTGTATTAAATCAACTTTTGATATTTGCAAGAGTTACACTTTGAGACTTGACACATTACCAGATTCATAAATACCATTGTAGTATATTAGTAATGTCTTTATTTTTATTTTAACTATTTTTAAATGGATATACCTATATTCTATCGATTAAATGTGGGTAAAAAAGCTGAGTTGATTTTTAATTATTAGTTCCTTGCTCATCTCTGTTTGGTTTAGGTGCCTGTAGGTGATCAACCTAAGGATATTGAGCTTCAAATCAGAGAGCTCATTCTTCGGTTCATCAGTAATCCTAATTCCATTATCCTCGCTGTCACTGCTGCTAATACAGATATGGCAACATCAGAGGCACTTAAAATTTCAAGAGAGGTAGATCCAGATGGTAAGGACAGATGTTAATTTAATGAGATGCTTATTTTACAATGGTAAATCTACCCTTGAGAAAGGAATTTTTCTCTTTAAAAACAGTATCTCTGGTTTTGAATACAAATTTAAAAGATAATGCTTTCCTATTTTTGTTTATAAAAATAGAAATTCTGATGGAAAATAAGGTTATTAAGTTGCTATACAGACTAGGCGAAAATATTTTACAACTTTATTTGTAATGGTTACCTAATAATTTAAAAATAATACGGTGGCTTTGCAAAAAGGATTTCTTGTTTTGTGACCTAGGTATTTGAATAGTTGACTTTT
Source organism: Homo sapiens (assembly GCF_000001405.40). Classification (NCBI taxonomy): domain Eukaryota; kingdom Metazoa; phylum Chordata; class Mammalia; order Primates; family Hominidae; genus Homo; species Homo sapiens. Next base: position 32,713,683 of record NC_000012.12, read on the forward strand.
AAGAATAAATAACATAGCCAGGTGTGGTCACATGTGCCTGCCGTCCCAGCTACTCAGAAGGCTGAGATGGGAGCATTGCGTGAGGCCAGGAGTTCAAAGTCAGCCCGGGCAACATAGACTCTGTCTGTTAAAAAAAACCAAAACACAGTAGGTAATCATTGTAGATTATTATGGTACAGTAGAGAATTATGGTATCTACATTCTGCAGAGGTAGATAATATTTAGACATGCTCAAGGCACAGGGGATTTTTAGAAATGAAGGTAAAATCCTTTCATGAAGCATTTTAGCCCCAAGGATTAGTTCATACTGTGGGTCACTGATGCTTGACTAATGATGTAGTGCACATCTCATAGTATATATAAAATGCTAGCTTGTAAGAGAGTGGTTACTATTGTTGCTAACAAATGTATGCATGGCCTCATATAGAAACCATTTTTTTCACCTTACTATTCAGAGGGTCTGAAGGTTGTGTCATGTTTTTCTTTCCCTGCTTTGAAGAATAATTTCAAATAAAAATTTGATAGGAAATAGTGCTAAGACTGCCAATCTGCCAATAAAAATTCCCATAAGCAGGGTCACTTTAACAATTTTTTTTTTTTTTTTTTTTGAGATGGAGTCTTGCTCTATCTCCCAGGCTGGAGTGCAGTGGCGCGATCTCGGTTCACTGCAAGCTCTGCCTCCCGGGTTCACGCCATTCTCCTGCCTCAGCCTCCTGAGTAGCTGGGACTACAGGCGCCTGCCACCACGCCTGGCTAATTTTTTGTATTTTTAGTAGAGACGGGGTTTCACCGTGTTAGCCAGGATGGTCTCGATCTCCTGACCTCGTGATCCGCCCGCCTCGGCCTCCCAGAGTGCTGGGATTACAGGTGTGAGCCACCGTGCTTGGCCCCAATATTTTATATTTCAAGTTTTTAAGAAACTCTTTTTTACCACTTGAGTAAATAATGTTCATTTCAGTTAAATTAAAAGATAAACTATATCAAAGAGTTTATTTACATTTTATTTTTATTATTTAAAGTAGACTGGGCTCAGTGGCTCATGCCCGTAATACCAAGCACTTTGGGAGGCCAAGGTGGGTGGATCACTTGAGCTCAGGAGTTCGAGACCAGCCTGGGCAGCAAAGTGAGAGCCCCATCTCTATTAAAAAAAAAAAACCACAAAAAACAATTAGCTGGGTATGGTGGCACTGGGCTGTGGTCCTAGCTACTTGGGATGCTGAGGTGGGAGGATGGCTTGAGCCCGGGAGGCAGAGGTTGCAGTGAGCCGAGATCATGCCATTGCACTCTTGCCTGGGCTCAGAGCCAGACCTTCGTAAAAAACAAACAAAAACCTGTTAAGCATTTTATATGTATAAACTCTATTTTAAACTGACCCTTGAGCCATAGATATTGTCATATTTTTAATCTAATCTTTTTTTTTTTTTTTTGGATGTAGGGTCTCACTCTGTTGCCCAGGCCTGGAGTGCAGTGGCACAATCATGCCTCACTGCAAACTTGCAGTCCTGGGCTCAAGTGATCTTCCCACCTCAGTCTCCCAAAGTGTTGGGATTGCAAGAGTGAGCCACTGCACCTGGTTTGATTACTAATCATAATCTAGTAATACATCATAAGGAAATAATCCAGCCCAGTATTATTTATAGTATAAAAAATTAGAAACAACTTAATATGGCCAGCAGTTGGAAAGATTAAGTAAATTATAATAATAAAATATGAAATAATTAAAAAGGATGATTTTGTAGATTTGTAGCAGTACAGAAAAATGCTTGTAGGCTGGGCATGGTGGCTCACACTTGTAATCCCAGCACTTTGGGAGGCTGAGGTGAGCGGATCGCTTGAGACCAGAAGTTCCAGAGCAGCCTGACCAACATGGTGAAACCCCATCTCTCTAAAAATACAAAAATTAGCCAGGCATGGTGGTGCATGCCTGTAGTCCCAGCTACTGGGGAGGCTGAGACATGAGAATCACTTGAACTGTGGAGGCGAAGGTTACAATGAGCCGAGATTGTGCCACTGCATTTCAGCCTGGACAACAGAGTAGGACAGTCTCAAAAAAAAAGAAAAATGCTTGTAACTGAAAAATACCATAGGTAAAATTGTACACTATGCAGAGCAGTTGGAACTCTCACACGTTGCTGGTGGGAGTGGTGTAGTCATTTTGGGAAACAGTCTGGCAGTTTCTTATAAAGTTAAATTAGCAGTCCCGTTCCTAGGTGTTTAACCATGTTAAGTGAGAACCAGTGTTCATATAAAAAACTATATGCAAATGTCTACAGCAGCTTTATTCATAATTTTCAAAAACTAGAAACAACTCACATATTCCTCAGATGGGGAGTGAAACTAAAGTATGGTACATTCCATACAATGGGACACTACTCTGCAATAAAAAGGAATGGACTATTAATATACAAGAACACGGATGAATCTCAAATGCATTATGCTAAATGAAAGAAGCCAGACTCAAAAGGTTATGTACTATCTGATTTCGTTTATATAACACTCTAGAAAAGGCAAAACTAGGAATGGAAAACTGGTTTGATTGGTTAGCATAAGAAAATTTGGTGGGGGGGGGTGGCAATGTCTTGAGTTGGTTGTGACATATCTCTTGGCATTTGTCAAAACTCTTAGAACTGTACACCAAAAAAGAGTAAATATTTTTATTTTTTGTTTATTGAGACAGGGTCTCATTCTGTTGCCCAGGGTGGAGTGCAGTGGTGCAATCACGGCTCACTGCAGCCTTGACCTGGGCTCAGGTGATTCTCCCACCTCAGCCTCACCTGTAGCTAGGACTACCACACCCTGCTACGTTTTCTATTTTTTGTAGAGACAGAGTTTCACCACTTTGCCCAGACTGGTCTCGAACTCCTGGGCTCAAGCAATCTGTCTGCCTTGGCCTTCCAAAGTGTTAGGATTACAGGCATGGGCCATATCACCTGGATGTAAATTTTATACAGATTTTTGAAATGCTTACAAAATAGCCCTAAGAGTCAACAAAAAATTACATGTGAAAAAAATCTATTTTATATATATACTATATATAGAGTATATATACACTATATATAGTATATATATATATATATATATAGTAACTGAAAATACCATAGGTATTTCACTACCCATCTGAGAAATATGTGAGTTGTTTCTAGTTTTTGAAAATTATGAATAAAGCTGCTGTAGATATTTGCATATAGTTTTTTATATGAACACTGGTTCTCACTTAACATGGTTAAACACCTAGGAATGGGACTGCTAATTTAACTTTATAAGAAACTGCCAGACTGTTTCCCAAAATGACTACACCACTCCCACCAGCAACGTGTGAGAGTTCCAACTGCTCTGCATAGTGTACAATTTTACCTATGGTATTTTTCAGTTACAAATATATATACATAGGTATATATATATATTTTATATATATATTTTATATATTTATATATATTTTATATATATACCTATGTATATATATTTGTAACTGAAATATATATACTATAAAATATATATAGTATATACTATATATATTTATATATACTATAAAATATATAGTATATATTATATATATTTTATATATAGTATATATAGTATATATATACTATATATTATATATACACTATATATTTTATATATACTATATATTATATATACACTATATATTTTATATATACTATATATTATATATAGTATATATAATATATATACTATATATAATATATAGTATATATAATATATAATATATATTTTAAATATATACTATATATATTTTAAATATATACTATATATATTTTAAATATATAGTATATATATTATATATATATAGTATATATATATATTTTAGACGGAGTCCTGCTCTGCATAGTGTACAATTTTACCTATGGCATTTTTCAGTTACAAATATATATACCTAGGTAGATATATATATAAAAAATACATATACCTAGGTAGATATATATATAAAAAATACATATACCTAGGTAGATATATATATAAAAAATACATATACCTAGGTAGATATATATATAAAAAATACATATACCTAGGTAGATATATATATAAAAAATACATATACCTAGGTAGATATATATATAAAAAATATATATACCTAGGTAGATATATATATTTGTAACTGAAATATATATACTATAAAATATATATAGTATATACTATATATATTTTATAAATATACTATATATAGTATATACTATATATATTTATATATACTATATATAGTATATATATAAAATATAGTATATATTTTATATATATATAAAATATAGTATATATAGTATATATATTATATATAGTATATATAGTATGTATAGTATATATAATATATATAGTATATATATTATAAATATATACTATACATACTATATATACTATACATATTTTATATATATACTATACATATTTTATATATATACTATATATATTTTATATATAATATAGTATATATATTTTATATGTATAGTATATATATATATTTTAGATGGAGTCCTGCTCTGTCACCCAGGCCGAAGTGCAATGGCACGATCTCAGCTCACTGCAACCTCTGCCTCTCGGGTTCAAGCAATTCTCCTGCTTCAGCCTCCCGAGCAGCTGGGATTACAGGCGTCTGCCACTGTGCCTGGCTAATTTTTGTATTTTTAGTAGAGATGGGGTTTTACCATGTTAGTCAGGCTGGTCTCAAACTCCTGATCTCAGGTGATCCACCCGCCTTGGCCTTCCAAACTGCTAGAATTACAGGTGTGAGCCACCGTGCCCGGCAAAAATGTTTTAAAAAATTATACACAATGTTTAACATTATTTTTAAAAAAGCACTGGTAAGTAAGGCATTACCAAAATGATGACAGAGGTAATACTAAGTGGGATTGTAGATGAGGGTTTTCCTTTATTAACACTAAATAGTTGTATTTAATGGATCATTTTCTTTCTTTTCTTTGCCCTTTTTTCTTTTTGCATTTACCAGGTCGCAGAACCCTAGCTGTAATCACTAAACTTGATCTCATGGATGCGGGTACTGATGCCATGGATGTATTGATGGGAAGGGTTATTCCAGTCAAACTTGGAATAATTGGAGTAGTTAACAGGTTAGCAGTTAGAATGGGATAAGAATTGGGATAAGCATTCTTAGAATGGGATAAGCATTCTCACTTCAGAGCAAGTCTGAATTTCTAAAATCTGTTTGAAATGTGATGCTGTACTATATTTTTTCTCCCTTTTATTATGATCTTGGTATTGCTAAAGAATCCGTTGCCCTAAAGGGAGAAAAGAGAGAGAATTTTTTTTTTTTTTTGAAATAGGGTCTCTCTCTGTTGCCTAGGCTGGAATGCAGTGGCGTGATTGTGGCTCATTGTAGCATCAACCTCTGGGCTCAAGTGATCCTTTCACTTCAGCCTTTCAAGTAGCTGAGACTATAGGTGTGTATCACCACACCTGGCTAATTTTAAATTTTTTTGTAGTGACAAGGTCTTGCCATGTTGCCCAGGCTTGTCTCGACTTCCTGGGCTCAAGCAATCCTCCAACCTTGGTTTCCCAGGTGCTGGGATTACAGGCATGAGCCACTGTGCCTGCCCCATAGACATTTTTACTGGAAAATGTTTCTAAAGTAAGCAATACCACAAAATGGAAGAAATGTTGTAATAGCCAGGCTTTAAGAATTCTTGCCTATCATGTTAAGCTATGTATGAGGAGGTACTGGGTAAGGGAAAAATTATCTAATGTGCACCCAATCGAGAAAGAGTTTAAGGTGGCAGGATTTTAATAGATTGGTTTTAATCCCTGGCATTAGTGATGCTTCTGTGTAATTGCCAGGATGTGACTTGGAGAAATTGTATTAAAGGTATCCTAATTTATAAATAGTTGGTATTAAAAACTGGGAAAAGGAAACTAGTATTGAGTGTCTAATTAAAGGTGACAAGATTTTAATAGATTGGTTTAATCCCTAGCATTAGTGATTCTGTGTAATTGCCAGGATGTGACTTGGAGAAATTTTATTAAAGGTATCCTAATTATAAATAGTTGGTATTAAAAATCGGGAAAAGGAAATTATTATTGAGTGTCTAATTACGTTTTAGACACTCTACTGTGAGCAATTTGCAAATGGTATCTCTTGGAATCCTCACAGCATCCCCTGAGGTAGGTGTTGATGTCTATTTTATAATCAGAAACCTCAGGTTATACATTTAACCAAAAGTCACGTGGGTAGTGAAAGAGCTGGATTCGGATGAATATCTCTTTTAGTCCAAAGCCTTCATATGGTAGGAAACACTGAAATTATCATGAAATCTGAGTTATAGTCCTAGTTCTTACATAAACTAGATACAACGTAGGTTTAAATGACACCTAATGTCTTTGGGTCTCAAGCCTTTAGAAAATGAAAATGTTTTTACTGCCTGATACATAAGATCCATTCCAGTTGTCTGCTTCTATTTTAATGTCCTTCCATTCCAACCCTACTGTCATTCTCCCATCCCCACTGTCATTCTCCCATCCCCACTCCCAATTCCAGCTGTCTCCTTTTTCAGGTAAGGAGGTGGCCTAACACTGTTCGTTGTTTGTAGATGATTGTTCTTCAAGTTAACTTAATTATTTTTGGGAGAAATTAGTTCCCTGTCCATGGATAAAATATACAGTTGACTAAGATACTCTTATATTTTTATACCTGTCTATACCTGTTACTTATTGTTTTTGTCTATAGTTAATGGTAATAATGAGGCCTACTCTATTTAGGCACTAGTTACTTACAATTCACTTAGTTCAAGTCTTGGCTATGCCAGTTAGTGTGTGACCTGGGGTAAGTTAGTTTTTGTGAGCCTCAGTTCCTTGCTATACAATGGGGTAATAATACCTGCCACATAAAATTATTGTGAGAATTAAATAAAACAGTCCCTGTCAGGTATTAGAGAACAATGCCTGGTGCTGTCATCATCTAAGGTAGGAAGAGGACAACAGTTAAGCTGAATAGTTTCGTTATTTTTTCAACCTCAGGAGCCAGCTAGATATTAACAACAAGAAGAGTGTAACTGATTCAATCCGTGATGAGTATGCTTTTCTTCAAAAGAAATATCCATCTCTGGCCAATAGAAATGGAACAAAGTATCTTGCTAGGACTCTAAACAGGTAATTTTTTTACCTTTTGGAAATGAGATGTGTTTGTTTTTACCAATTGGTGTCTGAGAGGGTTCATTTTCAGTTCCTTACATTTTCATACTGTTCCTAACAGCTTCACTTATGGTTTCTTATATAGTAGGTTCCTGAAGAGTAGATGTCTCTGTTTTTATTGGGGTGGTTGACATTACATCATCACGTAGTCTAGAATGAATGTACAAGTGATTTTAAAATGTTTTAATTACGAAAATTTTGACAGTTAATTTAGTTTTGTGGCTAGAACTAGAGATGACTTCATTTCCACTTTGCATTTCAGGAACTGATTAAAATTTGTAATTTTCACATTATCTATTCTTACCTTAGAATGTGTTTTATTTACCAGGAAAGGGAGATGGAAAAACAAAGAAATAGAATGTCTTTTATTTCTATTCACTGTAGAAATAACTATACGTTGGATTCTGAATACCCACTGATGTGTGGGGACTAGAAGCCCTTTCTAGATGATTTATAAATGACTGAAGTGGAAGCCATTTTCTCTTACTTTTATCTTATTCCCTAAAGACTGATAGACTTGGATCTTAATAAGGTTGATTTTCACTTTGCTGGGTACCAATTGTAAATGACAAGTCAATGAAACCAAAATTATATAGGAAGAATTGATTGGGTGGCTTATTTTCTCTGTGGTAATTGCAGTAATATGAAAATAATTTGCATTTTTTCCTTGCTTTTATTATTTAGGAAAAACCAATCAAAATTGTTTTTTTCCTTTTCACACACAGTTAATCAGTATAGCACAGAATGCTTTTGAGAGCAGATATATGGGGAGTTTTCCCCATACATCAAGCAAGGAATTCTCCAGGGGATTCTAGCTGAATGTCCTTTAATTCAATGCTAACACTGTTTACCTGGAGATAGTGTCAGCGCCCACAGGTTGAGGGTTCAGTCCCACAAGACTGCCCCCAAGTCAGATGCCAGTTGTAAGCACAGGTTGTAGCCTGTGTTTCTGACTGACAGGCTATAAGTCAGGGTACCCATGATCCCCTTTTCATGTTTGATGAATTTGTTAGAGTGGCTCACAGAGGTCAGGGAAACACTACTTAGCATATACCCACTTACTGTAAAGCATATTACAAAGGATATAGATAAATAGCCAGATGAAGAGATGCACAGGGCTGGGCATGTGGGAAGGAATGTGGAGCTTCCGTGCCCTCTCTGGGCACACCACACTCCAGGAACCTTCATGTGTTCAACTCTCTGAAGACTCCATGAACTGTGTCCTTTTGAGTTTTTATGGAAGCTTCATTGGCCATTGGTGATCAGCTCAATGTTTGGCCTCTCTCCTCTCTTCTGAGGCTGTTCTGGTGACCAGCTCCCATCCTGAAGCTATCTAGGGACCCCCAGCCACCAGTCATCTCATTAGCATGCAGAGACACTCTAAACACCCTTAATGCTCTTGGAGAGTCCAAGGATTTTAGGAGCTGACTGCCAGGAAATGAAGACAAAGACCAAATATATATTTCACAGTATCACATTTGCCAGGACAAATTATTTGATAGGTTTTCCCCATTGTAAAAATTTGACTTGTTTAGGGCTTTAGAATACACAATTTTACTTTTAAATCCTTCCTTTCTAACCTTTTTTAGGTTACTGATGCATCACATCAGAGATTGTTTACCAGAGTTGAAAACAAGAATAAATGTTCTAGCTGCTCAGTATCAGTCTCTTCTAAATAGCTACGGTGAACCCGTGGATGATAAAAGTGCTACTTTACTCCAACTTATTACCAAATTTGCCACAGAATATTGTAACACTATTGAAGGAACTGCAAAATATATTGAAACTTCGGAGCTGTAAGTAAGAAATTTTTCTGTAGATTTGGTTACCTAGATTGCTAGGTCACTTTTCCTTTTGTGAAGATGACTTCAGCTCAGATTATCTGATTAAGATTTATTTTCTATAAAACAAAAATATAACTTTGTAGAGATAATAGGATGATGTCTGGTTGTGTGAAAATATGCTTTGTAAATGATATAAAGCAAAGTAAAATTGTCACATATTTTTAAATATTTTAATATTTTATAAGTATTTACTTATTTTTATAAGTATTTAATAAGTATTAAATATTTTAATAAGTATTTAAAAATAATTTAGCTTTTAAAGTGTTTGTTTCTTTAGTACACACAGTATAATTGCTCACAAAAATTAGAAAATGCAGATAAGTAAAAATAAAACATAAAAACAAAATTACATGTTGGTGTGCACCTGTAGTCCCAGCTACTCAGAAGGCTGAGGTAGGAGAATTCCTTGAGCTCAGGAGTTCAAGTCCAGCCTGGGCAACATATTGAAATTCCATCCTTTTTTTTTTTTAATTGAATCCAAATTTTATTAAGGATTTCAAGTTACATACTTCAGATTTCTAGAATGGAATGGAATAATTTTGGAACTGGAAAAATGGCATAAACACTGATATCCCTTGAAACTTCAATTTTATAAAGAAAATTCTTCTGCAAACCACATCCCCATTATATAACAAGACCAGGTATTATCGACACCTTCACTTTGGCAATAACTATTTCCTAAAAGAATGAAAAAGATTATTTTGCTACCTCAGTTCGTTAAAAATGGGATTCTGGCCAGGCACAGTGGCTCATGCCTGTAATCCCAGCACTTTGGGAGGCTGAGGCGGGTGAATCACCTGACATCAGTTCAAGACCAGCCTGGCTAACATGGTGAAACCCCATCTCTACTAAAAATACAAAAACTAGCCGGGCGTGGTGGTGGGCAGCTGTAATCCCAGCTACTTGGGAGGCTGAGGCAGGAGAATTGCTTGAACCCGTGAGGCGGAGGTTGTGGTGAGCCGAGATGGTGCCACTGCACTCCAGCCTGGGCAACAGAGCAAGACTCTGTCTCAAAAAAAAAAAAAAAAAAAAACAGGGATTCTATCTTTAAAGTTCAGAAAAAGCTGCATTTAGATGAACTACGGCTACCAAAACAAACAAAAAAACAGAGTGTCTAATCAAAGCAAAGGAAATGATTTTGAAAATAGAACAAAGCTATTATAATTGGTTAAGGATTTCCAGTAGTAAGTTAAAATCTCAGGAGAGGAATGGATAGCATTACAAACAATGTGTTCACATTCCAAGACCTGAACACTAACTTCTCAAAAAGGAAGTTTTCATCACCTCTAAAAATGAATTCAATGTAATTTTGTTAAGAGCAGGAAATCTAGACCTTCCTCTAATGACAATCCAATAGTCCACCCTCGCCATCGTCAAAAGAAAGTTGCCTCAAAATTAACAGTAATTAGCCTGAGGTATTGTAAATGTGGCACTACAGTCTGAAATTTAATGGCATCTTTTGTCAAAAATAGTCTTATCTCTACTTTAATCTCATGACTACAATACTATGTGCTATCCCTGTAGTATTTACTACTATGCAGTCATACAGAAAAAAATTGTTGGACCTTGTGAAATAGTGCATCCATCTACTTCTATAAAAATAGGAGCCACATTGGCCAGGCGCAGTGGCTCACGCCTGTAATCCCAGCACTTTGGGAGGCTGAGGCAGGCAGATTACGAGGTCGAGAGATCAAGACCATCCTGGCCAATATGGTGAAACCCCATCTCTACTAAAAATACAAAAATTAGCTGGGCGTGGTGGCACGTGCCTGTAATCCCAGCTACTTAGGAGGCTGAGGCAGGAGAATCGCTTGAACCCAGGTGGTGGAGGTTGCAGTGAGCTGAGATCGCACCACTGCACTCCAGCCTGGGCAACAGAGAGAGACTCTATCTCCAAAAAAAAAAAAAAAAAATATATATATATATATATATATATATAAATTATATTAATTAAATATAAATTAAATATTTAATATATATATAAAAAATAATAATATATATAATAATATATATAGAAGCCACACAAAGATCACTAACTGATAGTTTAGTTTGATAACTGTTTTCCAGTTTAGTTGTCAAAGCATGGTGTGAACAAAATGCTGAGTGTCAACACTGGCATTACAAATAGGCCCAAAATGTGAGCTTTTAATGAGAATGAGAAACATTTTATGAGATTTAACTGAATATGCCTTAACACATCCATGAGGTAGTTAAGTAAACAGTACTACACATTTTAATACATAGTAAACAGAAGCATGGGTAAGTGACATACTCATACTTCAAGCAATAAGAATTAGAAGAAACCACACAGAAGCTTGGGGCATTCTCTCTAGCTCTACCCCAAAGAAAATGAACTTTAATTTTTTTTTTTAAAGCATCGTATCACTGAAGATTTTCTTCTTCTTCTTCTTTTTTTTTACACTTGCTTATTAGTATAGTATCTCTTTCCAAAGCTGGTACCCTTTTCAATAATGTGGTAAAAACTGAGTATAACCCTTAATTCAAGCTAGGCCTCTCCTTCTACCTGAATTGGTACAAAATTAAGACATCTTGTAAGAACTAAAATTGTATTTGAAATTTTTATTTTAGGCTACAAAAACAAGCAAACAAACAACAAATAACTTGAAAACAGGTCTTGTCAAATGATGTAAGTTCATCCTTTCCAGGGAAGCAGAAGGTAGACCCTACCACAAAGAAAAGATGCTTAGTTAATGGAGGTTAAATTTAAAAGTACAGTGAAATTCAGGCTAACTTCTGAAAAATCCTGTTTTATTCACCTCACTGTGGTACCAGTAACTATACTGAGTCAGGTTACTTTACAGTTAACTATGTCACCTATAACACAATAATCCATTAACAATCTAATACAGTTATTGGGTGTGGTCATACTGGAAGTTCTTAAATTCTTAACCATATAGTTGTCTTGCCAATTTTTTTTTCTTTCAGATGAGTCTTGCTCAGCCACCCAGGTTGGAGTGCAGTGGCACGATCTCAGCTCACTGCAACCACCGTCTCCCGGGTTCAAGTGATTCTCCCATCTCAGCCTCCTGAGTAGCTGGGATTACAGGCACCCGCCATCATGCCTGGCTAATTTTTGTGTTTTAGTAGAGACGGGGTTTCACCATGTTGGTCAGGCTGGTGTTGAACTCCTGACCTCAGGTGATCTGCCTGCCTCAGCCTCCCAAAGTGCTAGGATTGCAGGCGTGAGCCACCGCGACTGGCATGCCGGTTTTTTTTTTTTTTTTAAACGATGGATTGTCTTAGTACAAGTCCCTGCATTTCTGTAACAAAGTAATGAAAGGCACAGCTAATCCAAGCAGACTTAACCCTATTCAACAAACAGCTGAAAAAATACTTTGGTTCTTCAAGGAAAAAATTACGAAAAAAAAAAGTGTTTCCTTTAACAGTTGTTAATTTTCATAGCTGTACTCCAAGAGCTATATAAATATTCCAGAAGAACCAAATTATGTAGCAGCGAATGAACATGTGTGACAGAATTTGTGCATTCAACATACCTGGCAGAAAAACTAGTGAAAATGCTAGGTAGAACAGATTGGTCTTTAAAATATCAGTTTCCTGTCCTTTAAAACAAAAATTACCCAGTCTACCAAGAAAATACAAAAACATAAGGCAGTAAGTAAGAATTGTGTTTAGGCTAGGACAGTGCAGGTTATCCTCAAGGCCACATATATCCTGCTTCACTGCTGCTTGCACTCTGCTGGGTTTTGATCCTTCTTCGGGTCATAGTCTGGATCATTTTCCTCATCTCCTTTGTCCTCTTCCTCATCTGCTTCTTCACCTTCTTCATCATACTCATCATCATCATCTTCAGTAGCTTCTCCAGTAAACTATAACACTGATCTTGGGATTGTATGCTCACGTAAAAAGTGACCAATTTTGAAGTCTGCAGCAAGGATAGCTTCAGCATCATCATCCAGATCTCCACTCTCAGGAACTTCAGGAGGGGCAAGAAAATTAAAGAAAGAGTCATTGGAAACTGTTTTAGTCACAATACGAATTGTCCCATGTCCCTAGTGTTTCTGCTGCTGCTTAATGGTTTTCAAAATGACATTCTTTCCTTTTTTCCAATCTATCTGGCCCCCTGTACAACCCATAATTTCTTGTCCATCAAAGGAAAAGTGATCAGAATCATCTGGTTCTGGTTCTAACCTCATCCTATATGTCTTTGTCAGCACTTCATTTGTAAAATATTTACTGGGTTCAAATTGAAATTCTAAGACAAAACTCATAGGCAGGCCAGCATCTGAGAACTTCACTTTGGTATCTTTCACATGCTTCAGAATAGGTTCATCATGTTTCTGAAGCATATCACTGAGCAAGTCAACATTCTTAAAAACAGGTAACCAAAATTCAGGAATTCCTTTGGGGTCTTCTTTTTCTTCATCGTTTTTCTCATCTTCAGTCTTGGCCTTTTCTTTCAACTCCTCTGAAATCTCATCTTCTTCATCTGGTTTCCATTCACATTCTTCCTCTGTAGGTTCATAAATTGTATTAGTAATCTCAGATTGCTTATCAAATAGAGGCTGATAGAGAACAGCATACTTCCTTTCAAGATCGTGAACTTCCTCATAGAATTTGGCTTCTATCTGTGCACCTTTAACTTGCAGGTTTTTGAGAGCATTCACTCCTCTTTTAACTACCCTAGCTAGGCAGGTTGTCAATGTCTGCCATGTTGTAAGAACTCCAAATATCAGTGGCTACTATGAGAAGCCAGGCGGCTGGAGCTGTGCAGGCAGTGACTCAGGGCAGCAGTGGTGGTGGGGAGGAGCAAGAGGCAGCACTGCAAGCAGATGGCGCTAAAAAAAGAGACCCTATCTCTGAAAATGGAAAAAAAAACCACTCTTAATTTCACCAACCTGAGATAATTCCTAAAATTTGGCATTGACCTAGGCATTTTTGTATGCATCTACAACACATAGATGCCTATACTACATGTCTTTAAAAATCAGATGCTATACCTATCTTGGAATCATTTCTCAAATCATGTAACAAATAACTTTCTGTCTCATACATTATCAGTCTGAAGATTTGCATAGTATTTTACTTTTTAGATATACCCTCATTTGTTAGGCCAGTCTCCTACTACTGGATAGTTTGTTTTCTGTTATATACACATATAAGCTGTGATGGACTACCTGCATCTGTCTTTGGGGCTTTGTGTCCAAGTAAACACTGAGGATAAATTTGTAGAAGTAAGTTTATTAGATTAAAGGATATAACATCCTTAGAATCTTTCATTACATATTGCATATTGTTAGCATATTGTACTGTTTTACTACCAGCAAGAACATCCATTTCTCTACACCCTCATTAGAACACCTTTTTATTTTGAAATAATTATAGACTCACAGGAAGTTGCAGGGTGATGTACAGGGAGGTCCCATGCACCCTCCACTGTGTACCCTTTCCCCCATCTCCCCCACTGTTGGACATCTTGCATAACTATAGTACAATAACAAAGTGAGAAAATTGGACATGGGTACAATCCACAGAGCTTGTTCAGATTTATACGTGAATTTGTGTGTGTGTGTATGTGTAGTTCTGTATACTTTAGTGTGCCCAAGATGGTCTTCATATGAGTCAACTCCGTAAAGAGAGTATTTATCAGACTAATTATTGGTTATATGTACGGCATATTGAGAAAAATAGATTACCACAAATGGGCCTTTGAAGAGTTTAGTGGGTAAAGTAGGTCAAGGTAATACTGGGCTTGATTAGGCTGCAAAAGTATAACTTTTATTTAAATACTTCTTATTGTTAGATATAATTCATATTCAGAAAAGTACATACAGTGTATATGCACACTTTATAAACAGTTAATAAACCAATTATCTGTGTCCACCTAATCAAGCGTTTCAGACACTGAAGAGAGACCATTTACATTTATTTCAGGGTTTGGGAGAACTCCACATTTAAGAAGGCATTTGAATTGGGCTCTGAATAGAATTTGAGAAGGCAGTAATGAGAGGGCATTTTAGGCTTGGCAACAGCAAAGAATAATGCAAGAATAATGTTTTTGGAGAACAGCAAGTATAGTGATGGGACATAATAGGAGATAAGGCAGGAAGGGTGTCTAGGAACAAGACTGTAGATACGAAGTTTTTTCTGTCTTGCTCTGTCGCCCAGGCTGGAGTGCAGTTGCGCGATCTCGGCTCACTGCAACCTCTGCCTCCCAAGTTCAAGTGATTCTCCTGCCTCAGCCTCCCGAGTAGCTGGGACTACAGGCGTGTGCCACCACGCCCGGCTAATTATTTTTTATTTTTTATTTTTATTAGAGATGAGGTTTCACTGTGTTAGCCAGGATGGTCTCGATCTCATGAACACGTGATCCACCTGCCCTGGCTTCCCAAAGTGCTGGGATTACAGGCATGAGCCACTGTGCCCAGTCCCCCTTTTTTTGAGACAGTCTCACTCTATTGCCCAAACTGGAGTGTAGTGGCGTGATCTCGGCTCACTGCAAACTCCACCTCCTGGGTTCAAGTGATTCTCCCGCTTCAGCCTCCCGAGTAGCTGGGATTACAGGCGCGCACTACTATGCCCGGCTAATTTTTTGTATTTTTAGTAGAGATGGAGTTTCACCATGCTGGCCAGGCTGGTCTCAAACTCCCGACCTTGTGATCCGCCTGCCTCGGCCTCCCAAAGTGCTGGGATTACAGGCATGAGCCACCGCGCCCAGCCGAAATTCTTATCTATTAAGCAATTACTCATTCCCCTCTCCTCCCTCCAGCCCTGGTAACCTCTAATTTAATTAATTAATTACTTTATTACTTTGAGACAGAGCCTCACTTTATTGCCGAGGCTGGAATGCAGTGGCACAGTTTGGGCCAGTCTCTGCCTCCCAGGTTCAAGCAATCATCCTGCCTCAGCCTCCTGAGTAGCTGGGACTACAGGTGCCCACCACCACACCTGGCTAATTTTTGTATTTGTTTGCATTTTTAGTAGAGACTGGGTTTCACCATGTTGGCCAGGCTAGTCTTGAACTCCTGACCTCAGGTGATCTGCCCACCTCAGCCTTCCAAAGTGTTGGGATTACAGGTGTGAGCCACTGTGCCTGGCCGAATTTACTTTCTGTCTCTGAATTTGCCTATTGTAGATATTTCATATAAATTGAATCATTCAGTATTTGTCCTTTTGTGCTTGGCTTACTTCTGTTAGCATAATATTAGACTAGTACTTTTTGCCTGAGCTAGTATAAAAAAGTACTCAATAGTGATTGTAAAAATAGAGAGGAAGGGATGATTTGGGGAGGCATTATAAAGGTATTTGTAGAATTCAGATGGACTTGAATTTAAAAAAAGATAATACCAGGGTTTCTAGTTATTAAACAAGATAGGAAACATAAGGTGCTCAGTAACTATATCAAGAGATTTAATTTGTCTAAGGCTGGGCGTGGTGGCTCATGCCTGTAATCTCAGCACTTTGGGAGGCCGAGGTGGGCAGATCACGAGGTCAAGAGATCAAGACCATCCTGGCCAACGTGGTGAAACCCCGTCTCTACTAAAAATACAAAAATTAGGTGGGCATGGTGGCACATGCCTGTAGTCCCAGCTACTTGGGAGGCTGAGGCAGGAGAATCGCTTGAACCCAGGAGGCGGAGGTTGCAGTAAGCCAAGAGCGCACCACTGCACTCCAGCCTGGGCGACACAGCGAGACTCCGTCTCAAAAAGAAACAAAACAACAAAAAAAGAGAGATTTAATTTGTCTAAAGCAAGAGTAGGGCTGGGCACGGGTGGCTCACGCCTGTGATCCCAGCACTTTGGGAGGTCAAGGCGGGCGGATCACTTGAGGTCAGGAGTTTGAGACAAGCCTGGCTAACAAGCTATACTTATTTATTTACATATTGTCTATGGCTGCTTATGTGCTTAATGGTAGAGTTGAGTAGTTGCAGCAGAGACTGTATGGCCTGAAAAGCCTAAAATACTATGTGACCCTTTATGGAAAAAGTTTGCCAACCTCTACTTCAGATTGTGAATCAATGGAAATAAATATAAGGCACTGTTTCCTGTCCTCAAGGAAAACTAGGGCAGAGAAAAGGTGCTTAGCAATTCTTAGTTAACTGTTGATTTATGTCAGAACATTTATTATATTTACATATATATAATTTAATGATTCCTTTTCCCCTTTAAAAAAATTAGAGAAACTAGTTCATAATGAGCTGAGTTAGAACACATGGTAATGGGAATGAATGAAATTGTTTATCTGAGGCTTTCTCAGAAAATAAGATGAGCTTAAAGCTTCTAGAAAGACTTCTAACTTGTATCTTCTTTCCCTTTTTGCAATGCCAGAAACCATATACTTCATTGCCTTTCAGATGCGGTGGTGCTAGAATTTGTTATATTTTCCATGAGACTTTTGGGCGAACCTTAGAATCTGTTGATCCACTTGGTGGCCTTAACACTATTGACATTTTGACTGCCATTAGAAATGCTACTGTGAGTATGTTTAGCTTTTTAGACTGTAAAAAAAAATGAGGTTAAAGTTTTTCTTACCCATATACTGTGTCTTTTTAAATTTAATTATACAGTTTATTTTGCTCTCATATTTGAAATTAAAAAGCATTTTTCATGAAAAGTACCAAAAATGTGACTTTCTTAACCCTTGGGAAGAACTGAAATTACATATATAATAAGAGTTCTAAGTTTTATTTTCTCAGGGTCCTCGTCCTGCTTTATTTGTGCCTGAGGTTTCATTTGAGTTACTGGTGAAGCGGCAAATCAAACGTCTAGAAGAGCCCAGCCTCCGCTGTGTGGAACTGGTTCATGAGGAAATGCAAAGGATCATTCAGCACTGTAGCAATTACAGTACACAGGTAACGGAGAGAAATGTAACAGGTTTCACATGAACTAGAAAAGGACATGAAGTGGTGGTTTCACTGGGTGGAAGGAAATGTATAAGATGGGATACAAGGTAAAATCTGTAGTTCCCTTACCTGAAAGTGATTTGAAATAGGATTCTTAAATGTAGTCTCCAAATTGAATTCAGTATTTCTGTGATCATTAAGTAAAAGAAAATGACTGTTAGCCTGGCATGGTGGCTTCTACATGTAGTCTCAGCTACTTGGGAGGCTAAGGTGGGAGGATGGCTTAGTGAGACTATGACTTAAAAAAAAAACAAAAAACAAACACGTTTTTCTTTCATCTACCATTTGTAGGAATTGTTACGATTTCCTAAACTTCATGATGCCATAGTTGAAGTGGTGACTTGTCTTCTTCGTAAAAGGTTGCCTGTTACAAATGAAATGGTGAGCTACTATAGCATAGATCATTGTAATTACTATTAGTAAAAGTTTAAATTTTTGCTTGGCTGCTTTTTAATAAGCATTATATGGTTACTTTAGAGTGTAGGCATAATGTTTTCCAGTGTATTGGGAGGAAAAACAAGTTGAGTTTCAGTCTCATTTTAAAGGAAAATTTTTAATAATTCTGGTATAAAGTGCATTTTTTCTTCATATTTTAATCATTGTTAGCCTGCAGGCATGGGTTTTCTTGAAAATAGATTTATGATTGAGGGGTGTGAATAGCTTTGCTGTATTATTTAGTACCACTGATCTTAAGAGAAAATTAGTTCCATCTTTAGCCTCAGTAAACTGAGCATTTATAGCACACTGTTACTTTGAGGTACATCGGAGTAATCTGGCCACTTCTGCAGTTTGCTTGTTATGACCTAATAACTATAATATCGTAGTTGCTTGCTACTATTCTGTGGGTTGCTGCTATCCACACAAATAAAAATGCTGAAATTGGCAGAAATATGGGATAAGCATTTAAAATTGCCCTCATGCCTCTAATTGTTGGCTGGGTTTTTTGTTTTTTGTTTTCTTTCTGATCACTAAAAGTGCATTTGGGTCCTTGGCTCAGGATGGTGAACCCCGTGGAGGTTTACTAAGAGTACAAAACCATCCTTGGAATGTAAGTGCTGCTGCTTGGTTGTTTCTTTAGCAAGGATAGCCCTCAGATTCTGATGTCTAAGACTGAATTTAGCCCAGAATCATTGGACCTTCATTTTAATAGACCCTTTTTACCCAGTTCTGGACTGATAAGTGCTGTTCTGATACCTGAGATTTGTTAGGACAGCACATAATAAAGGGCTCAAGTTTATTCTCTCTGTAAGACTCAGTGGTGTGGTGGCTCACACCTGTAATCCCAACACTTTGGGAAGTCGAGGCGGGTGGATCACTTGAGGTCGGAAGTTTGAGACCAGCCTGACCAACATGGAGAAACCCCCTCTCTACTAAAAATACAAAATTAGCCGGGCGTGGTGGTGCATGCCTGTAATCCCAGCTACTGGGGAGGCTGAGGCAGGCAGGAGAATCACTTGAACCTGGGAGGTGGAGGCTGCGGTGAGCCGAGATCGCGCCATTGCACTCCAGCCTGGGCAATGAGAGCGAAACTCCGTCTCAAACAAACAAACAAACAAAAAGACTTAGCAATTCTGTAGAGGGCTGGATAAATTAATTTTAACTTTTCTTTTTTATTTTCCTCTTAGGATTTTGAACTACATATAATATTTTAACTAGGTGCTTTATAGTTAAGGCTAATCAGTCACTACCTCAGGTCCTTAGATGTATCCTTTACCCAAATAAGTTAACATCTTTAACTTATGCCTTGTTACGAACTTATTTTCTTATTGTTGAAAATGAACTAAAAAAGTGACAGGGAATAGTGGATGATCTGAAGTTTTAATAGCAAAGTTGCATAAAGTGTTGGAATTTAGATTTGCATTAGGTAGATGACTATTTTTCCCTAAGAGTAAAATACTTGTAGTTACTTTAATGTTATTTTTCCCTCTTAGAAATGCAGTTTTAGATGCTGAAATGTAAATAATTTTAAAGCTAGAGTAAATTATTGTTTGGCATAAGATTTATCAGTTGGAATATAATTATCAAGTAATTTAGGCATAAGTTTCCTGTACTTTTTCGGTATTGTCTGTTTCATAAGTTTTATATATAAATTTCTCAAAGTAAAATATGGTTGATGTATTTTTGTATATCGCCTAACTTACTTTTTTTCTAGGTCCATAACTTAGTGGCAATTGAACTGGCTTATATCAACACAAAACATCCAGACTTTGCTGATGCTTGTGGGCTAATGAACAATAATATAGAGGTAAATATAATTCTTAAATGCTTTTTCACAGGTAGAAAAATCTGTTGTAACTCAGTTATATCAAACTTATTTAGCATGGAGTAACTATAAAATAGACATGTGCCACATTAGTGCCTGCTGCATGTCAGGAAATATGCTGAGGGGATTACATTGTTTTCTTAATTCTCAAAACCACCTGCAGGCATTATTACTTTCTGCTTATGAAATTGAAATTCAGAAAGAATCTGAAAATTCATTGATTTGGTGTGACTGGCTCTATTTTGGTAACTTATAGTTTATACAGGGGAAGTGTGTACAACAAAGTATTTAAAATTCTTTTCATTTGGCTTTGAAAGCTGTGAAGGAAACACTCAAGAATTAACCAACTTAGCATAAATTTGGAAAAGCAGAGTGCTTTTTTCACCACTACTGGGGTGGCTGCATTTCATGGATCTTTTCTTTCCTTTTGATTTTAATGTAACAAATTGAATAAGATCTCAGATGGAGCCAAGGCTGGTGGACAGAGCAATTTATCCAGAAGCCATTTTTTTTCTCTGCCGCTTTTCTCCAAAAATAGTACATTT